>NC_000001.11:175911859-176214890 GCF_000001405.40 Homo sapiens
AAACAAAGGTAAGATTTGTTTTATAAATTTAAACCAATGATAAGAGTTTCTAGTGACTCAGTCCTCCCTCTTTTCCAAGTGCACAGATGCAGGCATTCTTACAAATGAAGATTTCCTTTATAGATGTAACTTTTATTTACAAAAGCATTTCAAAGCAGCCAGCTAAATGTCAGAAAGGTATATTTTGGAGAATGATTTAGTTCAATAGGCAGGTTTTTTTTTTCTTTTTTTAACTTAGCTACTGTTTCTTCACTAAAATTACTAAGTTCAGGGTGGAGTACATTGAGAAATAGGGCAAAGAAAGCATTCTGTACGTCTGGACTCAGCACAAATAGCTCTGAAAAAGCAAGTCTACTTTACCTGAGGCCCTACCTTTTATAAACCCTTTATCCAGGATAGCTTTCTTTTTACATTTGGGGGTGGAATAATTATTAAGCCAAAATGTTAGCAGATTTCATTTTTCCTATCAATTCATTGCCTAAGCTTTTTATTTGCCTTTTATAAAGGTCTTTTAAAAGAGGTAATAAAAACATTGAAATCTTTTCAGAAACTTCTGCACATAAATAGGCATCCCTGGGTTAGCCTAGTTTGGGAGCTTTCATTTTTAAATGCACTTTTTAAAGTGCAATGTTTTTCATTTGGAACATTCCACTGTAATTTTAAAATATCTTTAGTAACATTTCACCATTTTTGTAAGCATTTGCTGTTTCTAGGGCCTAATACTTATACATGTAAATGTAGGCATAGTCAGAAGGGGGAGTATTCAGTTCTTCAGAAATTAAGGATTCCATTTTTACCTTGACCATTTAGATCCCCTTGATCAACTTAGCCAATGAATTTTCCCCTACCTAACAGTGCAAGAAAAACAACAATAACAACAACAACCAAGGGGATAGAACACAAAAAATCTGAAAAATTTCTGGAAGCCAAAAATTAGACCCCCTGCAGTATTGCGATTTACTGACAGTTCCTGTCTGACACGGTCAGACAGCCAAGACAACTAACTGGATGCAAGCAGTTAATTATCAGATCCAATCTAATCCTAGACCCAGTACAGATTTTGTTGTAAACTCCAGAACACAGTTTGGATAAAAATGTGCTCTAACAAGCTCAGGTAGCTCAAAACACAAATCCATGTAGCTACAGAATCCAAGAGAGCTTACCCATGATTCACAGTTGCTGTGAGAAAACAATGAACAAAATAGGGCCAGCAGGTACCTTGTTTGGTTACTTGATGCTCCTGGGGGTCACTAGAAGCTGTATTTCAGATTCTACTTCTGACACCATCTATTAAAAGAAAACCTTTGGACAAATGAACAGAGCTTAATTGAGCAAAGGACTATTTGTGAATCAGGCAGTCCCCAGAACCAGAATATGTTCAGAGCAACGCTGGTGCTGCCGTGTGGTTGGAGAGGATTTATGGAGAGAAAAAGGAAAATGATGTACACAAAATGCAAGTGAGGTGCAGAAGCAGCCAAACTGGTTACAGTTTGGCATTTGCTTTATTTGAACACGGTTTGAATAGTTGGTCACCTGTGAGTGGTTGAAGTATGGCTGCTGTGATGGGCTGAGACTTGGCTTCTTGTCCCAAGAGTAGGTTATAGTCTGTTTACACATCCAGTTAGGTTACAGTTCACTATGTATAGAAAAGCCTTTAGGCTGAACATAAAATCTGTAAAAAGGCAGCTTTAGGTAAAACTTAATTTACCAGTCCATAACTAAGAATTGGAGCTCTAGTAACTGCTGTTAACTCAGCTGCTTGTGTTGATTTAATTCCAGACAAAACATAAGCTTCCAAAATTTCATGAGAAGTCACCACACCACAGAAAGTCTTCAGTCATCCTTTCTTAGCCCAGGACCATGACTCAAATCTGCATTTTGAAACTGGAAGTCTAATAAATCAGGCCAGGGCTTAATATCTTCCATTACCATTGTTCAGTCATGATCATCTATTTAATCAGAATCTCATAAGGGGGTAGTAGGGTTTAGGAGATTGCACCTCCCAAGTACTATGTTAGGACTACCTAATAATGCTTGCTCACAGTTAGTTCAATGGCATACTGACAAATGCTAGGCTTTATGGACTTGTAAGATTGCTGTCACAGCATGTGGGACATGCAAATAAGTCATGTGACTCAAGGTAAGACTTTGGGCTTTTCCAATAAGAATGCTGGCTACCTCTTCCTCTTGCAGACACCCAGGCATTCTCAGTGCAGTGGCTCCTAGAACTGATAAATAAACTATTGCCCTATAGTTCAATCCCAACTTTTAAGCTAATATTTCACTAGCAGCACCTTTATTTTCATAACAAAATAAGTGGAAAGGTTTTCAAAATTGAGAATCCTCAAGACTAGGGGAGAAGTTATAGCTAATTTCAGTTGTACAAAAGCCTCCTCAGATTTTAAAGGCCAGAGAGAGTTATCATGCAATTGCTCATCGAAGGTTTTGCACACTCAGCAGAAGTTGGGATTCATTGTCTTCAATGTCCTACTAATCCCCAAAATTGTCTCAATTGTTTCTCTATAGAAAGCTGTTTGATATTCAAAATCGGTTGACTCTTAGACTGTAACACTTTACAGTCTTCAGCTGACAATAGATGCTTTAATACATTTTGTGTTGCTCTTTAGTTTCTGAGGCTACCAGCCAATCATCTACACATTGATTAATTATAGATTCCTCTGGTGGAACAAATTTATCTAAGTTTTCCTCAAAATAACTAGAGAAAATAGTAGGGAGGCATTATTTGTAGGAATTATTTGCCACAGATATTGGGCTCTTTCGTAAGTAAAAGCAAAATACATTTAGACTTGCCCACTAGAGGAACAGAAGAAAAAGCAAAATATAGACTAATCACAGAAAAAAATATTTGTAGATGACAGTACCAAAGTTGGAATAGTTACAGGGTTAGGGACCACAGAGTTAATGGAACAGTAAGTTTATTTATGTCTCCAAGATCTCATGCAAATCTGTATATCTCTATGAAACTTACCTTCCTTTTTCACTAGAAGTATGGTAGTATAACAGGGTGAATGTCCTTTTTAAATTATTCCCTTGCTGGCCAGGCTCAGTGGCTCATGCCTATAATCCCAGCACTTTGGGAAGCCAAGACAGGCAGATCACCTGAGGCCAAGAGTTTGAGACCAGTCTGGCCAATATGGTGAACCCCTGTCTCTACTAAAAATACAAAAATTAGCCAGGCACGGTGGCACGTACCAGTAGTCCCAGCTACTCAGGAGGTTAAGGCACAAGTATCACTTGAACCCAGGAGGTGGAGGTTGCAGTGAGCTGAGATCACGCCACTGCACTCCATCTGGGCAACAGAGCAAGATTCTGTCTCAAAAAATAATAAATAAATAAATAAATAAAATAATTTCTTGTTTTCCTTCTTTTTAAATAGAGACAGATCTCCCTATGTTGCCCAGCCTAGTCTCGAACTTCTGGGCTCAAGTGATCTTCCTGATCCTCCTGCCTCAGCCTCCCAAAATGCTGGGATTACAGGCATGAGCCACCATGCCTGGTCCCTTTTCTTCTATGAGGAACATAGTAACCATCTCAGGTGCTCTTTTGTTCAAGGAGCTTCACCAATAGGCTATCTGGAGTACAAAATATAGTAGCCTTTAATTTGCAGAGTAGGTCTCTCACCAATAGGTTTATAGGAGATACAGGAGAAAGTCAGAATGAAGGTACCTCAGTAAGAGCACCTGTCTGTTTGGGAATCCAAGAGAAAAAGGAATAAATGGAGGCTGATCCAAAGTACCAACAACTTGTACTAATCAGTTGCCAGATGGAAAGCAGGAATTTTCTGAGGAAACTGCAGAATAAGTAGCACCAATATCTACCAGAAAAGCCAAGGATGGATGGGGTTCAGTAAAAGTCCTTGACATAGATGGTTTACCACTTCCCACCTCTGAGATACCCCCAATCTGTCAATTTTGAGCCATTTGCCAACTATTTCCTAGTTGAGGGTTTCATCTTTCTAGGCTTTCCTGACTCTCCTGTCTCTGCAATTTTGGTATCCTCCCGAGTCTCTTTCTATAGTCCTTCCAATGTCCTGGTATTTTGCAATAATAACATTCAGTTTTCTCCTGTTCCTTTGCTATATTTATACTTTGCCCGGTATAGGGATTATCCTCCTTAGTAATAATTCTCACTGAGTAGCCAACACAGCAGTCTTTAATCTCTGCTTTTCTTCTTTGTCTTAACCCTAAACTGAGTAGTGGCTGCTGCTAGGATTTGAATAATAGTCTGTCCTTGCTATCCTAACACCTTTTGCTTAATTTGGGCTTGGTTAGTCAGCAAGAGAGCAGAGGTAAAGGTTGCCAAGATTAGGGAGTGATTTTATCTCCTCCTGGGTCCATGCTAGTAAATTCTGAGAAAGCCTCCAAAAACTGCTGCTGGAAATCAATGGAGGACTCATTCTTCTTCTAGGTACACCATTGCAACTTCTCCCAGCTTACCTTTAGTGGATTGCTTCTAGCAATCGCTCTGGATGGATCTCTAACGTGCTCAGTTCCGTAGTTGTAGGGGAGTGGTAATCAATTTCCTCTGGTCACAGTGCCACCTTAGGTGGTGGATCATCTCCAGGTCCTCAAACAAGCAAAATGGGCTGGTTGCAGGATTACCCACAAGAGTCAGTGCACATCCCTATGTGCAGGGCTGTAAACTAAAAACAAGCTGTGGAGCATTTCTGCAAACTTTTGTGTATCTTCCCAGGGTACGGGAAAAATCCTTCAGATGGATGATATCGGCAGGGGAGAAGAGCACATAGATGCTTAATGTTTCCTTTGCGCCCAAGGGGCCTGGGGAGCTTCTCGGTGGCCTCAGATTTGCTGGTGATCTGAGTAAAAAGGGCTGGTTTTCTATGCATTAAAATAGGAAAAAGGGAGGATTATATGGCACCTTGGTTTGTTTTTCCATACTGGTGTTTATGAACCTAATATCTTTTTGTTTGTCTTTTTCCAAGTAACTCTCCATCCTGCTGCCTTCATACAGGGACACAGTCTCTTATCTGAGTTCTCAATTATTCCAGGATATTGATTATTTATCTTCATCTTTTTCACCTTTCTAGCTAAATGGTGTGTGGATGAGAAGAGATCCCTGGAGGTGAAATCTGGTCTAAGGCAAGAAGTGGACTTGGGGATAGGCCAGGGGGCAGTCAATTCTACGTCCTCAAGCAGGGCAGGTAACTCATTTACAGCTGGAAAAGTGACATCCTTTTTTCTCTTCTCATGGAACCCCCTAAACAGGAAAACCCCTTGTCTAAAAGCTCATCACACATCCCTTTCCAGGAGTCTGAGACAAGGAGGGATAAAGTGAGGCAGCAGGAACAGAGGGAACAAGAATAAGCAATGGAGGAGGAGGTTTCTGTGAAGGAGAAAGTGCTCTTAATTTTTGTATTTCCTGTTCTATTGTTTTTTTTTTCAGTCTTTCTCTCTGGTTATCTAAATCACTTTTAAGTTTCCTCTTAGAATAATATTCATCCCACAAATACCAGTAACTCATTTGCTTGACATAAAGCCCTTCCGAGAACTTCTGCAAATGCGGTAATTTATCCAAATCAAAAGAGCTATCCCTAGGCCACTGCAGGACTAGGATCTGATGTGTATATCCATTCCAAATGTGTGAGAGATATGTTAGCCATTCAAGAGAGACCTACAGGCAACATTCCTGGCATCCCATATTTTTCTACCATGAACCTAATGGTGATCTTGATGAGATTTTAGAGCCTGTACTTCCCATGTTTATTCAGTAGCAACAGCTTGAATTTGGTATCATCCAGTTAGTATTCCAAACAAGTAGAGAGGTAGATGGGAGACTTTTTAAAAATCAGGGTCTCTTACCTGACTCTGTGTGGACACAGACCTTCAGTTGTCCACTTTATTCAGAAACTGCCAGTCATCTTACCTTCATTCACAAAAATTGAGAAAATAAAAAAACCAAGATCTTGTCCAACCCAGAAATCCCCTCCACAAAGGTAGTAGAGAAACAAAACACTTTTTTTAAATTTAATTTTTTAAATAATTTTTTTTTGAGACAGAGTTTCTCTCTTGCTGCCCAGGCTGGAGTGCAATGATGCGATCTTGGCTCACCACAACCTCCACCCGGGTTCAAGCGATTCTCCTGCATCAGCCTCCTGAGTAGCTGAGATTACAGGCATGCACCATCATGCCCAGTTAATTTTGTATTTTTAGTAGAGACGGAGTTTCTCCATGTTGGTCAGGCTGGTCTCAAACTCCCGACCTCAGGTGATCCACCTGCCTCAGCCTCCCAAAGTGCTGAGATTACAGGCGTAAGCCACTGTGCCCAGCCTAAATAATTTTTATACAAAAAATAGAGACAGGGTCTTGCTATGTTGCCCTGGCTGATCTCAAACTCCTGAACTCAAATACTCCTCCTGCCTCAACCTCCCAAAGTGTTGGAATTACAGGCATGAGCCACTGCACCTGGCCATAAAACATTTTTATTTTTATTATTGAATAACCGTTTATTTTTATTATTGAATAACCATTAAACCAGAATGTGATGTGCATCACATGCAATTGCTAAGAGATTGCAAAGGCAGAAAGGAAACTCCCCCCTTGTACAGCCAAGCAGATACAACCCAGTACATTCATGCTCCCAAGATAAACAATCACTAGTCCTTAAGTAAGAGACAACACCTTTTGTCACACACAGTTTGTCCTAACTTTATCTTGGTAATTGGGGAGACCACCTGTGTTGGCTTTATTTGGAGGAAAAACAAAATTTCCATATCTTTATGACAGAAGATAATTTTGCAAATTGGGGCAAGGTACCCACTGAAGTTAGGCTCTAACCCTCCCACAGGAACTCGGAGATAGGGACACTATCTTCCGTGATGTTTGCATTTCAAAAAGATGACTCCCAGGCCCTGCAGGAAACATTCCTGAGTTGAGAAACTTATTTAGCCAAAGAGAAGATTTATATACATTTGAAAAGGAAGGACAGAAAAGTTCTGAAAAAAGAGTTGAGGATTGCAGGGCAGGGTTGATGGGGGTGTGTCTTTTCTCTTATTTTTGTTTTCAAGAAGGAGAATTAGGTCTTCTATTATTTTCTAAATTTTTATTTTATTTTGTTTTGTTTATAAAGACAGGGTCTTGCTATGTGCCCAGGCTAGCGACAAACTTCTGGGTTCAAACACTCCTCTTCTCTCAGCTCCCCAAGTAGGTGGGACTACAGGTGAATGACATCACAGCCAGCCTTAGGCCCTTTATTTTTCATTTTTACTTGCTATCACATTAGGGAGAGAAATATTTTACCTGTTTTCCTCTACCTCTGAATTAGGATCAGATTCTCAGATCTGAAAGGTACCAGAAAGAAAAATTCCATCCAGGCCCCTGCCTTCGGGCAGCTGAATGTTGAAATCATTAGAACCTGTAGTTGTCTGGTCACCTCTGATGATCTCCAAGGATGGAGATGTCACCCATTTCCATTGGTAGTAACTTCCAGTTTTTTAGCAACCAGCTAGGTTCATAGTTCTTTCTTTTGCCTAGCTGAAGTCCTTCCTGCTATAAATTAATCATCAGATAAATAATACCATAAACTAATTAATTTATCATCAGATCTAGACAACACCTGAGTGTCTTAACAGACAGTGTCACCATGTGCACACATTGTCCTCCTTGAAGATAGCTCTCAGCTGTGCCCCTTGACATCTACTTGATCAGGGGAAGTAAACTACCCATATGACTCAAATTTTTAGAATGCCAGTCAAATCCTACATCCATTATACAACCCATTTAGCACTCCAGTAATTCTGCCTTTTAAACTTTTTTTTTTTTTTTTGGACAAAGTTTCACTCTTGTTGCCCAGGCTGGAGGGCAGTGGTGCAATCTCGGCTCACTGCAACCTCCGCCTCCTGGGTTCAAGCGATTCTCCTGCCTCAGCCCCCCAAGTAGCTGGGATTATAGGCACCCGCCACCATGCCTGGCTAATTTTTTTGTATATTTAGTAGAGATGGGGTTTCACCATGTTGACCAGGCTAGTCTTGAACTTCTGACCTCAGGTGATCCACCCACCTCGGTCTCCCAAAGTGCTGGGATTACAGTTGTGAGCCACCACGCCCGGCTGAACAATCATTTCACTATAACACATGCAGCAATTAACATTTTTGAATGTGTTTTCCTCATTTGTTTTAAGAAAGCATAATACTTACTTCATAGGATTATTATATTATGTATAAATTATTTTCCATGCGGTATATCTTACCTGCCTAAAGCTCCATGAAGGGATCATGCCCTTCACTATTTGATATCTTCCATAATGCCTGGCAGAATGACTAATACAGAGAAAAACTAGGCCTAGTGGGGAAGGGAAAGATATATTCCATGGTGACAGATTTCAGCTCAGTCTAGGAAAAAGCTGTCTAATAATTAGAACCATTCTGCCATGAGTGTCTCAGGAATTACTGGGATCTCAATGGCTATCAATAGTTAAGTAGAGACTTTAAGACTGCCCATCATGGTGAAATATGAAGCATGTCTGCAATGAGTAGGATATTTAATTCATTGGTTGCCCTGAAGAGAGTTTGAAACAGGTTTTTTTACTCTGAAAGGAAAAAAAGAAAGTGATTACTTACTGCAATGTACTGAGAGCTGGATTTCTGTTCAAGTTCTTGACGCTTCTTTCCCATCTCTCAGCCCCAGAGGAGAGGTGAAACTAATGTCAAGGTTCCTGGCGGATGTTTAGACGATGGAGAAAAAGCATGCACAGTTAAATAAACACTCGAAGTCACTATACTGTCTACCATCACATACCAAGGGGAGGTGGGGAAAGGGAGGGAGAAAGAGGCATTCCACTTCTGTCATAAAGATTTGTTACAATGCAATTAGATAACTAGAAGGGAGTAGATGCTGGAAGATAAGAACACCTCCCAGAGATTAACACACTGGGAAGACCACTTTTGGCTTCCACTTGTGGCTCCATAGATATGATCAATATCGGGGTTTTTCTTGACAAACAACCTTATCTCTTGCCTGCAATCTCAATTCACTTTCCCTTCTTCAGTCTTGTTGCCTGCATATAAGAAGACTAGTAGAGGTGATGCTGGTTCAGCCCCTGCCACCTAAGTCCTACTCTCCGGTGAGAGAATGCACTGGACATGTGGTAGGAAAGGGGATATTTCAGAAATCTTAATTTGAGCATTTTCCTAAACTAGCTTTTCATTGAACCTGCGATGATGGCTGATATGTTTTGGCTTTGTCTCCACCCAAATATCAACTTGAATTGTATTTCCCAGAATTCCCACATGTTGTGGGTGGGACCCAGGGGGAGGTAATTGAATTATGGGGGCCGGTCTTTTCCATCCTATTCTCATGGTAGTGAATAAGTCTCATGAGATCTGATGGGTTTATCAGCGGTTTCTGCTTTTGCTTTTCTCATTTTTCTCTTGCTGCCTCAATGTAAGAAGTGCCTTTTGCCTCCCGCCGTGATTCTGAGGCCTCCCCAGCCATGTGGAACTGTAAGTCCAATTAAACCTCTTTTTCTTCCCAGTCTCAGGTGTGTCTTTATCGGCAGCATGAAAAGAGGCTAATACAATGGCCTACGGTGGGTCAGCTCACACAGAAATAGGCGGATGCTATGTTCAAACAGCATAAGGAATAAAGCCATTTTATACGCCTGTTTGAAGGGAATAAAAATGTTTTGTCCCCAAACATACTTCTTTGACATATTTTGACATGGTTGTTCAGAGAACTTGCAAAGAGAAGTAGTCCTGCAAAGCTGTCTTGTGTAGGGGAGATTTGCATCTGTACAGAGTCTGCATTGATGCAGCAGGCTTTCTCTGAGGCCCTCCCTTGTCTGGATGTAGGAAAGGTTAACTGAGAGTCTGACACCTTTCAAGGTCTGGAAAAAACATTTACCATCTACTCTGTCTGAGGGCAGCTACCTATGAGGTTCATTCATCTACAGAGCAAGACCACCTTTGCTAGTCAGGCCTCCTCTTCTTCCCCTCCTATACCCTGTCTTACCACCATAGTCAGATTTACCATTGTCATCATCTGTTTGTATCACTATAAAGGAATACATAAGACTCAGTCATTTATAAAGAAAAAAAAAGTGTATCTGGCCTTTTACCTCATTGCACTCCTGAGAGCAAGGTGGGTCACCAGCAGCTGTACTGGAGCCACCCGCGAAAATTCGGCCAGGGTTCTCGCTCTTGTCGCGTCTGTTCAAACCGGCAGGGTCTGATCCAGAAATATGGCCTCAATATGTGCCCCCAGTGTTTCCGTCAGTACGCGAAGGATATCGGTTTCATTAAATTGGACTAAATGATCTTCCTTCAAAGGATCATCCAAGGCATCTACTCAATGAAAAGCCATGATAGTTCTTTGTACATAAAATAAACATTTGAAAACAACAACAACAACAAAAAAGTGTATCTGGCTCTCAACTCGGCTGGCTGGGAAGAGTGTGTCTGGTGCCTGGTGAAAGCCTCAGGCTGCTTCCATTCATGGTGGAAGATAAAGGAGAGACGGCATGTGCAGAGATCACATGGCAAGAGAGAAAGCAAGAGAGGGGAGGTGCCAGGCTATTTTTAACAACTGGCTCTCATGAAAACTATTAGAGCAAGGATTCACTTATTACCATGAGAAAGACACCAAGCTATTCCTGAGGAATCTCTACCCCCATGACAAACACCTCCCATTAGGCCCTAATCCCAAGGTTGGGTATCAAATTTCAACATGAGGGTTTGGGGGACAAACATCCAAATATAGCAACCACCATAACCTGTTTTGGGCCAGGCTGCAAGCCCCTATTCTTTCTGTAACCTCAGTATGGTATATAAGCTTCTGAACCCTATTGGGAGGTTGGGGCAATCACTCTGTGGTTCTCTCCTCTGCTTGTTAATAGATTTGTATGCCATTTCTCCTATTCATCTGCCTTCTTGTCAGCTGATTTTAAGCGACCCTTCACAGGGCAAAGGGGAAGTTTTCCCTTGGCCCCTATAGTTTTGGCACTGTGAGCAGGATACCAAAACTCTGCTCTTCTGGAAGCCACAGACAAGAAAACTCAGGATCAGACATGCCAGCAGAAGGGTAAGAAATTTCTACCAGCTAAGCTCCTTGCCTCTCTCTCTGTGTAGTCTGGTCAAATGGATGGTAAAAATCACTGTTTCTTTTGCCCCTTTAAAATCTTGACTAATGGGAGAAAAGGATTTGTGTGACTAGTCTTTGGTGTAGTGACTCTGGTGTACCTTTTGGTATAAATATTCATATTGTTGAATCTTTTTTCTCCCCAAAATGGTATTTTTCTTTGTCTTTTTGTGTTGCCTATCATAAAGTGGGGTACCATATGGTAGAACACAAACCTAAAACCCTCATATGTCTGTTGTTCAGGCCAGCCCTGTGGATTGACCAGTTTCGCAGTTCTGACCAGACTGGCATTTATTTAGACAAACTGCTGTGAGTCTTTGATATAAAAACCAGATGAGGTTCCATTCTTATCTTGTTTTATGTCCTTGAGAGCTTGGCTTGTGAACAAGTGGGAGCATTGTTTCTTGGTCTCTGCCATCATGGCAGAGGGAGGGATACAGTTTTTGGTTCAAATTGGTGGCCAGCCTAAAAAAATTTGGAACCCTGAGACATATCAGCACACCCTATTTTTTTTTTTTTTTTTTTTTTTGAGATGGAGTCTCACTCTCTCACCCAGGCTGGAGTGCAGTGGCTTGATCTCAGCTCACTGCAACCTCCACCTCCTGGGTTCAAGCAATTCTCTGCCTCAAGCAATTCTCTGCCTCAGCCTCCCAAGTAGCTAGGATTAGAGGTGCCTGCCATCCACGCCCAGCTAATTTTTGTATTTTTAGTGGAGACAGGGTTTCACCATGTTGGCCAGGCTGGTCTTGAACTCCTGACCTCGTGATCCACCCACCTCAGCCTCCCAAAGTGCTGGGATTATAGGCGTGAGCCACCGCGCCCTGCCAGCACACACTTTTTGTTCTGAACATGTCAAACTCTCAGGGGGATTTGTCTTAATAGAAGGTCCCATTCACAAGGAGCTTTTGTTGTCTCAACCCTTGCTGTCCCTGGGAAAGTCCAATCCTAGGAGGGCATAGCCAATGTCACAGATTAATGTGTCTGTGACTGGCAGCCTCCCACAAATATGTGGGATAGTGGAGGCACTGTACACACAAACACCATCCTTAACCACATGTGGTAACAAGAGTCTTTTAGTATTTTAGCCTATTCCTGGGAGTAGATTTTGGGGGATAATTGAAACCATCTCTTCTATGCCCTCTCCAGAAAACTAAAAACTTGTTCTAAACCTGGTAAATTACCCCCTGGGCTTTCGATAAAAAGACTTATTGAATTAAGTTGCTATTGAAATAAGTACACCATTGGAAATTCTCAACGTCAGTGGCCAAATGATGGATTTGTTAAATTGGAAAGACCCCTAAATTAAAAAAAGATTTTAGACTCTCATTCTAAGCAATTGTCTTGTTTGTATTTATGAGATCAAATTTTTTAATATCATATAAAATAGATTCAGATTTGTTTATTCACAAAACAATAGACTCTACAACCACTGAAGACTTTGCATGAAAATATCTCATGTTAAGTCAACCTTTAGACACAAAATGTCAATAATTGAAAATATTCAATTATGTAAAAAGGTCCATAGACTATGGTTGGCGGAGAAATGGTCATATTTTTTAAAAGACACATAATAATGTCGTGGATAGCCTTAAAAATTGTCTTGACAAAATTGAAGAGCAAAAATCTGACTTAAAATAAAGTTAAAATCCCTTGTATTTTAATGACAGCCACTCCACCTTGTTGTCTAGTTAAAATTCCATGCTTCACCACTTTGGCCTGGGTTTGCTTCTCAGTCAGGAAACCAGTCCCTTTTGGTTTGATATTTGTGTCACTTTTCACTTTTTAGGATTATTGATTCTTTTCCCCTTTTAAACAGCTTTTGATTTCCTGTCTCCTTCTGTCTGTGGGGGCATACGAGTCTTTTTGGGTCTTTATGTGTTCACAGTCAGCTGAGAAGCTGAGATCCTAGAGAATATGGCCAGACAGATGTGGGTTGTACTCCATTTGCAGCTAGTGAAAGTTTCCTTTCTTTAACTCTCTTTGGGGTGGTTCTAGATCTTGTGAGGACTGCTTTACATCTCTTTAGAGAGGCCTCATGCATCTTTGACTAAGTCATAACCTTGGTCAAGACTTTGATTTTGGTAAGTCACTTGGGAGATCACCTTTGGTAAAAAGTGCAAAAGCCAGGAATATCAGCTGTGTGTTGCTGCTAACATCTGAAAATCAGAGATTTTAGAAGATATCTCTACGGTCAGAAGTTTAATTAAAAGCTGATATTTAAGTGGCAAATATATTTTTTAGAAGTGTTTTTGCTTTTTCTCTTTTGGATTTTGTTTCTGAGAAGTTATTTTCAGTCAACTGAAACCCATTTTAAATTAGGTTTAGTTCTCATTTGCTTCCATTCATATTGGTATGATTTTTGTTAAAATGAACAAACAAACCCCAAAACCAAAAACATGTAAACTTCATTGGCCTTTTAAAAAGCTCAAAATCTCCCCCAAATTGGCTCATCTAAGACTTGTTCTTCCATTTATTTCCACTTGTATTACTTTTCCTTTTTTCTACCTTTGACCACATTAAGAAAAATCTGAGAGACTTCTAGCAACCCTGAGACTCCTTGAGAAACACAGCAAAAACACCACACATCCTCTTTTGGGGGTCTTCTGTTTTCCTCCTGGAGTCCCTAAAGTCCTGGGCCAGTTTTTGTCAGGTCTAAAGCTCTACCCTCTTTTGTATTAAATTCCTTGATCTCTTTCATTTTGGTGGTGGTGGTGGTGGTGGTTGAGGGGGTGGTTACAAGGAATTACATTGTACTGTAAAAGAAAACTTGACCTTTGTGTGTATGGTGACTGACTAGTCACTGGTGAGAACCATAGTTTTGGAGGTGGCTGACAGCAGTTGCTGTAAATGGTTATTTCTACAAGGGGCTACTTATTTCTTTGTGAATTCAGATAAAAAGGGTACAGTTTAAACACTTAGAGGCTGTGGAAACACTTGCTACTGAGGGATAAGATTCCCATGAGAGACAGGCTGATCACAGAGTGGGCTGATTAACATGAGGTCACCCAGCAGCCTTACAGAAATGTCCTTACAGTAAGGTATACTCTGAAAGCAATACACTCTCCAGTCCCATGACATTTCCTTCTATTTAGGGTGCCAAACGACAGTGTAAAAATCGGACCCTTGAAGTTTTGGGTGTCTGCCTTCCAGTTGCACCTGCTTTCCACATATTTAGGTATTAGGCTCTGTCTTAGCCATTTATGTTGCTGTAAAGGAATACCTGAGGCTGGGTAAATTTGTTAAGAAAATAGGTTTATTTGGCTTACCATTCTGGAGGCTGCACATGAAGCATGGATCTACTATCTGCTTCTGATGATGGCTGTAGTAGTCAGGGTTCTCTAGAGGGACAGAACTTATAGGATAGATGTATATAGGAAGGAGAGTTTATTAAGGAGTATTGACTCACACAATCACAAGGTGAAGTCCCACAATAGGCCATCTGCAAGTTGAGGAGCAAGGAAGCCAGTTCAAGTCCCAAAATCTGAAAAGCAGGGAAGCCAACAGTGCAGCCTTCAGTCTGTGGCCAAAGTCCAGAGAGCCCCTGGCAAACCACTGGTGTAAGTCCAAGAGTCCAAAAGCTGAAGAACTTGGAGTCCGATGTTCAAGGGCAGGAAGTATCCACCATGTGAGAGTGATGAAGGCTGGAAGACTCAGCAAGTCAAGTCCTTCCACGTTCTTCTGCCTGCTTTTATTCTAGCCACATTGGTAGCTGATTACATGGTGCCCACTCAGATTGAGGGTGGGGTGGCCTCTCTCAGTTCACTGACTCAAATGTTAATCTCCTTTGGCAACACCCTCACAGACACACTCAGGAACAATACTTTGCATCCTTCAATTCCCATCAAGTTGACACTCAATATTAACCATCACAATGGCTTTAGGCTGATTCCACTCATAGTAAAAAAGGAAGGGTAGGCGGGGTGTGGTGGCTTACACCTGTGATCCCAGCACTTCAGCAGGCCAAGCCAGGCGGATCACCTGAGTTCAGGAGTTCGAGATCAGCCTGGTCAACATGGTGAAACCCCTATCTCTACTAAAAATACAAAAATTAGCCAGGTGGGGTGGCACACACCTGTAATCCCAGCTACTTGGGAGGCTGAGGCAGGAGAATTGCTTGAACCTGGGAGGCAGAGGTTGTAGTGAGCCAAGATCGTGCAACTGCATGCCTGGGTGACAGAGCAAGACTCTGTCTCAAAAAAAAAAAAAAAAAGAAAAAGAAAAGGAAGGGAGCTGGCATGTACAGAGCTCACATGGTGACAGAGCTGAAGCAAGAGAGAGGAGAAGGTGCCAGGCTCTTTTCAACAACCAGTTCTCACAGGAACAAAGGGTTAGAGAACTCATTTACTTCCATGAGAATGGTACCAAGCCATCCATGAGGGATTTACCTCCACAATCCACACACTTGCCATCAGGCCCCACCTCCAATGTTAGAAATCAAATTTCAACATGAGACTTCGTGGGGATAAACAAACCACAGCAGTCCCTGAAAACTACATATGCTTTTTTCGCTCCGTTTGTTATTGGGTTCTGCCCTGAGCTCAGTGGCCTAGTTGGAAAATGAAGACTAAATTTAAAACTAACTGATAAATAAAATTGGTTTCCTTGTAAAATCTTATGGTAAATTCTTATGATTTATTTTTATTCCTATGATTTTACCTTGATACCCATTTTTAATCTTCCTTTAATATACCCAAACTTCTTTAAAGAGCTTAAATTCTCTCTGTGTTTTAATATGTAAATTTGCTACCTTGTTTACTCCAAAATGTGATAAGGGCTTCTAGCCATGTGGAACAAACTTTAACCCATTCCATTTACAGAGGCAAAATTTAACTATCCTTTTAAACTAGTGAGTTTTACCTGTTTCACGGCTAAAATTTTTAAACGAAAGCTACAAAATCTATATTTGTGTATTTTTCTGTGCACATATGTACATGTCTGTGTTTGCATATTGTGTACATGGTACCAGATTGACATAAATTAATAAGTACTCATAACGTAAGTATGTCCAAATACTTTCAAGTTAGTGTGATTTTAGAAATCTTTAATAAATAAAGCTAGTTTAAAAATTATTAGTAAAATAAAATAAAAACATCTTCAAAATTTAATTCAGACATGTTTGCCTGGGTCTGTTGGTCAGACTGGTTTATATTGTCTCTAGTTGATGTTTTAGGGTCATAAAACTCTTATTTCTGTAATATTAATACTAGCTTAATTTGTCTCTGAACTTATGTCTTGGTTTTGAGTGTTTAGATTCTGGAGTCTAGACAAGTGGCCATGATGAGGACTGGGGACACATGTGTGTTCACAGTGCCTGGGCCCTATTCTCCCTGGTCCAGCTGTTTCCAGGCTATGCTAATAGGGGTCAGATCCTCCAGATACTGTCTTCACAGTCCTGTTCTCTGTACTTGGCTCTGCACCTGACACATAACAATCACAGTTACTTACTTCCCAGGTTTTCCATTAAAAATCAGGGTTATTAAGAGCTAAAATTGTAATTAATATATTATTGAAACTACTAAATATTTTAAAATTCTATACACAAAGTATAGATATAAGAAAAGTAATGTCTTTTTAATAAAACATTACAAAAAGACATCAACATATGGATTTTGTTAAAAAGAAAGTAATTTTTTCTAGTGTAAAGGTTTTCAAAAAGTTGTTTTAAATTTAAAATACAGTTGAAATGAAATAAAATATTTTATAAAATCTTATTTACAGAATCTTATTTTGTGTTGCCAAAACTAAAATTAGATGTTTATAAAGTTTTCTTAAAATTAACTTTAATATTAAGGATACATAAAAAGGATAAAATTTGTTCTTTTCAACAAAATTTTTATGTCATATTAATAATAGATAATAAAATATTTTT
Source organism: Homo sapiens (assembly GCF_000001405.40). Classification (NCBI taxonomy): domain Eukaryota; kingdom Metazoa; phylum Chordata; class Mammalia; order Primates; family Hominidae; genus Homo; species Homo sapiens. Next base: position 175,928,840 of record NC_000001.11, read on the forward strand.
GTTCACCTTTTAAATAAACTACAACCCCTCCCCCACCCCAAAACTAGGAGCACATTTTCTTATTCTGTCTTTATGAAATCTTTTAATTATTTGGAAAACTGCCCCATCAAAGGAGTAAAGGTTTTGCTTTGCAAATCTTTAAGGTTGGTATGGTGGATCCCACCTAATGCCAGCACTTTGGGAGGCCGAGGCAGGTGGATTGCTTGAGGCCAGGAGTTTGAGACCAGCCTGGGCAACATGGAGAGGCCCTGTCTCTATAAAAAATACAAAAATTAGCCAGGTGTGGTGGCATGTACCTGTAGTCCCAGCTGTTTGGGAGGCTGAGGTGCAGTGAGCCATGATCATGCCACTGCACTCAGCTGGGCAATAGAGTGAGACTCTGTCTCATAAAAACAACAACAACAAAAAGTTTAAAAGAATTGATCAAGATAGGATCAACATAACTGTAAAATAGTAGTCATTTAGCCAAAGCAATAATTTAAAAATTTATTTTCTTTCTTTTTTCTTTGAGTCAGAGTCTTGCTCTGTCACCCAGGCTGGAGTGCACCCAGGCATGATCACAGCTCACTGCAGCCTGGATCTCCTTGGGCTCAAGTGATTCTCCAGCCTCAGCCTCCTGAGTAGCTGGGTCTACAAGTGTGGACCACGATACCTGGCTAATTTTTGTATTTTTTGTAGAGACAGAGTTTTGCCACATTGCACAGGCTGGTTTCAAACACCAAATCTGCCTGGTTGGTCTCCCAAAGTGGTGGGATTACAGACATGAGCCACCGTGCCTGGCCAAACCTTTCTTTTTTAATATCAAGTGTTTCAAACCATTGATATTTGACAAACTTCCCAAAATTAATTCTAACATGTCCTTTTGAACTCAAGTTAACTTTTAGACATTCCAAAAAAAAAAAAAAAAGCCCCTGGAAGTCCAACAGAGACATGTTAGTCTTATTTGGTATGTAAAAGTCATACAGGAAGTATTGTTAATAAGAAATAGTGTTTAACAATCTCTGAGTTATAGTTGTATAAATGTGTTAATATGTGTTCCAAAATTGTGTTAGATTCCAAAAATTTTGATATGTCTTGTTATATGTTATCAGTCATAGTTATGATTATCCTGTTAAATTGTTGTTTGCTACAGAAATAACAAATTTCCTTGTCAATTGTATCTTTAATGATGGCTATTCTAAATTTTGGTTATTCACAACTATTGTTTCACTCTGTTTCTTCACAAAAATGCAGTTTATAATCAGCTACTATTCAAACATTGTGCTTCTTCAAGTAAATTCATGGATAGGAAAGTGACAGATACTCTGAAATAATGACCTCTGCTTATGACTGTGAGATCATATAATTGGATCGGGTAAAAATTCTAAAACCTTCAAAGAGAAAAACTGGACTCATAAAATGCTAACCTAACATCAAGCAGAAGAACTAATTACATGAAACTGAACTAATGCAAGGCAAATGATTTTAAAGTTTTCACTTTAAAACATTACTGGTTCTTGCCAGGTACAGTGGCTCACGCCTATAATCCCAGCACTTTGGGAGGCCAAGGCAGGCAGATCACCTGAGGTCAGGAGTTTGAGACCAGCCTGACCAACATGGAGAAACCCTGTCTCTGCTAAAAATACAAACTTAGCCAAGTGTGGTGGTGCATGCCTGTTATCCCAGCTACTCGGGAGGCTGAGGCAGGAGAATCACTTTAACCCGGGAGGCAGAGGTTGTGGTGAGCCAAGGTCGCTCCATTGCACTCTAGCCTGGACAACAAGAGTGAAATTCCGTCTAAAAAAAAAAAAAAAAAAAACTTGTTCTTTTTATGTTATTTTCTAGTCAAGAAATTTTTTTCCTCTTATATTGCTTACAGCAATTGAGTAAAGTTAACTTTTGTGAACAAAATTGAAACATTTACCTTTCTCTCTACCCGATTCCTCCAGAATGCAGAAACTATTTGTGAGTATTTTTATTTTATGGCAATAGATGTATTTGTGTAAGTTTAATAAGAATCTATTTTCTTCAGTGACAGGACACAATTACAGACACTGGTTATTTTACCAAGGCTTTGACTGGAATGTCACATTTTAAATGTGACCAGACTGCTTTGAGGAATTGAGGATGACTTTAAAGCCAATAGACTAAAAAAGAGTGGCCTACTATCTTTTTTTTTTTTTTGAGACAGAGTTTTGCCCCATCACCCAGGCTGGAGTGCAATGGCACAATCTCAGCTCGCTGCAACCTCTGCCTCCCGGGTTCAAGTGATTCTCCTGCCTCAACCTCCCAAGTAGCTGGGATTACAGGTGCTGGCCACCATTCCTGGCTAATTTTTGTGTTTTTAGTAGAGATGGGGTTTCACCATATTGGCCAGGCCAGTCTTGAACTCCTGACCTTGTGATCTGCCTGCCTTGGCTTCCCAAAGTGCTGGGATTATAGGTATGAGCCACCGTGTCCAGTCATCTGTTTTTGTTTTTGTTTTTTTTAAGTTCTGGGGTACATGTGCAGGATGTGCAGGTTTGTTACATAGGTAAACGTGCCATGCTGATTTGCTGCACCTATCAACCCATCACCAAGTTATTAAGCCCAGCATGCAGCAGCTCCTTTCACTAATGCCCTCCCACTCCTGCCCTCCCCCAACAGGCCCCTCCCTGTGTCCATGTGTTCTCATTGTTTAGCTCTCATTTATAAGTGAGAACATGTTTCTGCATTAGTTTGCTGAGGATAATGGCTTCCAGCTTCATCCATGTTCCTGCAAAGGACATGATCTAGTTCTTTTTTATAACTGCATAGTATGCCATGATGTATAGGTACCACATTTTCTTTATCTAAAGACTAACCTACTATCTTGCCTCAACTGTTCCCTTTCAAGGTTCCTAACCTTGTGATAAGAAAAAAATGTCACTTTTTGACAGGTACAGGAACTTCAAGATATTTTAGGAACAAAAAAAAAAGAAAAAAGAAAGAAAGAAAGAAATTAATTCACCAAATCTGTACAAGTATTACAAACTTTGGCTTGGCTCCTAAACATTAAGAGCATTTTTAAAGTCTAATCTGAGATTCCTTATGAAAAAGTTCCAGCAAAACCAACTTGAAAAGACCCTATATGGCCAATCATTATTATTGCTGTACTTTATATAAATAATCAGGCTAAGTACAATATGACTAAAACTTATTTTGCAAATGTATTGGTTTCACTATGATTTATCTTTGGTACAAATGGGAGATTATAGAGAAAAAATATGTTTTAGAAGAAAACTATAGTACATGTGACATTAGATTCTAGCCCTGACCATTGTTTTTTAGTTATTATTTGTCTACAATTTGATCTAAATGCTAAATTCTTTCCTGGCTATAAGTCTCCAAACCGACATTTTCTAATTTTTCTCCTATTTTTCTGACTTGAAATCACTAAAAAATAAAACTGCTTTTCTTAATGCCCTACAAACTGAAGCTAGAAAACTTGATATAAACTTCCAGAGAAATCACCACAGCAACTTGCAATATAAACAGCCTTTGTGTCTGTTGATGCATGGACTACTTAAAAAGTTCACTAGAACACCTGATTCTATAGTATAGGAAAATGTACAAAGCCAGAAAATCCAGAACTTGAAACTCTAGAACTAGTTTATAGACAACTCTATGAATTAACTTTTTTCTTCTGTTTCCAATAAAATGTCTTTTATTAAAGATCTGTTTGCCTGCATCATATATAGAACCCTAGCTCATCTACGATACCACCTCTTGGAATGAGACACAGCAATTTAACTGAACTGACCTATTCTCAGGACTAAGAAACTAATTCAAGAAGATATGAGATGATCTATTTAAATTTGCTCTCTTCTGCTTATCCCAATTTGTTCCTCACCTCCTTTCCAATCTCTTATCTACCAGCCTCTAAAACAAATCTCTCTAAAGCTATCAAGTTGGTTCTTAACATGAGAAACTTTCTGAAAGAAAAATTTCAAAAGGTAGGGCAGGGTTGGGGGTGGTACTAAAGGAAATAAAAATCTTTTTTCCAAAATATATTTCTTTGAGCTATTTTGAGATGGTTTTTCAGAGGACTTGAAACAGAAGTAGTCCTGCAAAACTGTCTTGTGTGGGGGAGATTCGCATCTGTATAGAATCTGCACTGATGCAGCAGGCTTTCTCTGAGGCCCTCCCTTGTCTGGATCTAGAAAGGATGAACTGAGAGTCTGACACCTTTTTTTTTTTTTTTTTGAGATGGAGTCTCACCCTGTCACCCAGGCTGGGATGCAATGGTGTGATCTCCACTCACTGCAACCTCTGCCTCCCGTGTTCAAACAATTCTCCTGCCTCAGCCTCCGGAGTAGCTGAGATTACAGGTGCCCGCCACCATGCCCAGATAGTTTCTGTACTTTTAGTAGAGACGGGGTTTCACCATGTTGGCCAGGCTGGTCTCCAATTTCTGATCCCGTGATCCACTCCCTGTGGCCTCCCAAAGTGTTGGGATTACAGGCATGAGCCACCAGCACCCGGCTGAGTGTCTGACACATTTAAAGGTCTGAAAGAAACATTTGTCATCTATTGTCTCTGAGGGCTGCTACCTGTGATGTTTCATCTACAGAGAAAGACCACCTTTGTTAGCCAGGCCTCCTCTTCTCCCAGTCTCAAACCCTGTCTTGCCACCATAACCCCCATACCTGTTGGCCCCTACATCTGTTGAAAATTCCAGAGAAATACCTAATGTAGATGATGGGTTGATGGGTGTAGCAAACAACCATGGCCTGTGTATACCTATGTAACAAAACCTGCACATCCTGCACATGTATTCCAGAATTTAGAGTATAATTAAACAAAAATTAAAAAAAGAAAAAAAAGAAAATTCCAGAATAGCCATTTGACCTTCCTTTTTTTTTTTTTTTTTTTTTTTGGTAATTTTTATACTTTATACTTCTTTGTTCCCTATAATAAAAAATAAAAAAACTGAGGAGTGACTAGATTTTAATATGCATATGCTAATGCTGCCCTATATTCATGGAGTGCTTTTTAATTTCTAAGTGCCAGAAGCCTTTCCAGATATATTACTAAAACTGTTCCACAAAGCTTTGCAATTCAACAGCACAGAGCACCACATTCCATTTCTAGGAATAGAAGGCTGCCTTTCCCATGGGAACCATGGAGTGGAGCTCATGGGAGTCTCTCCTGGGACTCACCAAATGGAATTTGGGAAGGGGAAGTGAGGACTTCTAAAGTGTAAACACTGACTAGAGCAAGCTTGTCCAACCCATAACGTGCAAGCCACATGCAGCCCAGGACGGCTTTGAATGTGGCCCAACACAAATTTGTAAACTTTCTTAAAGCATTAAGATTTTTCTGCAATTTTTTTTTAAGTTCATCAGCTATCGTTAGTGTTAGTGTATTTTATGTGTGGCCCAAGACAATTCTTCTTCCAGTGTGGCCCAGGTAAGCCAAAAGACTGGACACCCCTGGACTAAAGTTTAGTCTCTAAATATTAAGAATATTTTAAAAAATGGCTACCTGTTAATAGTAGCTAATTTAGCAGAAAAGTAATTTATTAATTCTTTCAAAATTTAACCCCTCGAAATTAGCCAGTGCACAAACATTAGCTATAAGATATGAATACTTATAAGAGATTTGGTCATTCCAAAAAAGAATCAGGTTCCAAGTCTCCATACAAGTGCTACAAGCCTGAGAAACTGCCTTATATTCAGAAAAGAAATTTCAATAGCTCAGGGTGAAAGAACCAGAAAGGTGAGGGAGAAAAAGGGAAAGAAAAGGGGAAAAAATTAAAAGCCAGCCTTGTAAAATATCCTGTTTCCCCACATTCAACAGGCTATATCTTAAGCACAAATCTTTCAGAGTATTCAATGAAAATAATCTCAACCTCAGACCTCTAAATTATCTTTGTTATAGATACATTAATAGAACTGGGCTGGGCACAGTGGCTCATGCCTATAATCCCAGCACTTTGGGAGACCAAGGCAGGCAGATTGCATGAGACCAGGAGTTTGAGACCTGTCTGGCTACCATGGCAAAACACCATCTCTACTAAAAATATAAAAATTAGCTGGGCATGGTGGTGCACGCCTGTAATCCCAGCCACTTGGGAGGCTGGGGCATGAGAATTGCTTGAAGTTCTGCAAGAGGTGGAAGTTGCAGTGAGCTGAGATCATGCCAATACACTCCAGCCTGTGTGACAGAGGGAGACTCTGTCTCAAAAAAAAAAAAAAAAGAAAAAGAAAAAGAAAAGAGAAGCCAACACTGACAGATCACCCTCATGAGGTCAGGAGTTAGAGACCAGCCTGACCAACAGGGTGAAATCCCATCTCTTCTAAAAATACAAAAGTTAAGTAGGCGTGGTGGGTCATGCCTGTAATCTCAGCTACTTGGGAGGCATGAGAATCACTGAACCTGGGAGGCAGAAGTTGCATTGAGCTGATACTGTGCAACTGCACTCCAGCAGGGGCGATGGAATGAGACTCTGTCTAAAAAACAAAAACAAAAACAAAGAAACTCTGAAAGTTCTGTCTCCAGAGCTTCATTTATTTGTTTGTTTGTTTGAGACAGGGTTTCACTTTGTTGTCCAGGCTGGAGTGCAGCGGCCTGATCATGGCTCACTGCAGCTTCACCTCCCAGGCTCAAGTGATCCTCCTACCTCAACCTCCCAAGTAGCTGGGACCACAGGAAGGCACCATCACACCAGGCTTTTTTTTTTCCTCCTTTTTTTCTTTTTTAAATCTTACGTAGAGACAGGGTCTCACTTTGTTGCTCAGGCTGGTCTCAAACTCTTGGGCTCAAGCCATCCTCCCACCTCAGCTTCCTGAAGTGTTGGGATTATAGGCACAAACCACCCTGCCCAACATTACCGAGGTTTAACAGGAAAAGTGTTCCTTGGTTCTCTGAAAGCACACATACCAAGGTATAACAGTGCTGTGTACACTCCTGTGGAAATTGCATGCAAGCCAACAACAACAAACCTCTTAGTTGGGTGGTATGCCCTCTAAAATGGCCTTCCAGGCTCCTGTGCTCCACACCATTGTGGAAAGAGAATTGCATTCTGTGGACGTACTTTTATCCACTAGAATGAACGCAAGCTCAGCAAAGTTTGGATTTTCATCTTTTTTTTTTTTTCTTTCTCCTGCTACTGCTGTCTAGTCAGCACCTAGAACAGGGGTCAGCAAATTGTGGCCTGCAAGCCAAATCCAGCTTGTGGATTTTTATTTTTTTTTATATGGCTCATGAGAGATAAATGTTTTTACATTTTTAAATGCTTGAAAAAAAATTTCTGTGACACATGACAACTCACACTTCAGTGGTTTTGTTAGCAGTGTGACATTGTGAAATACATATTTGGTCTTTGTCCCCTTTCCTGGAACACTCTTGGAATCTCCAAAGCGTTAAGTGTCTTTTTGTATGCTAATCAGTTGACTAATGACTGGATGGTAATTTCAGGATGGGGGCTGGTCACTGGAAAAACCAAGGCATGATTAGAAAGTTGGGACTTTCAGCCCCACCCATTCTGACATCTGGGGATGGGAGAGGGACTGAAGGTTGAGTTGATCACCAATGATTTCATCAATCATGCCTAGGTAATGAAGTTCCTATAAAAATATCTGAAAGATTGGGTTTGTGGAGCTTCTGGATAGCAGAATGCATCTATGCGACAGGAGGGGGTACACTCCAGCTCTACTGGGATGGAAGTGCAGGTGCTCAGGACCTTTCCAGACCTCATCCTATGTAGACCTTCATTTGGCTGCTCCTTTGTATCCTTCAAAATATCCCTTTTAATAAACTGGTAAACTTAAGTGTTTCCCTAGGTTCTGTGAGCTGCTCGAGAAAATTAAACCCAAAGAAGGGTTCATGGGAACCCTGATTTACAGTTTGTGAAAAGAACAGGTAAAACCACCCAGAGCTTGCAACTGACATTGGAGGTGTGGGTAGGGGGGAAGTCTTGTGGGACTGAGCCGTCACTTGTGGGATCTGATGCTATATTTTTTACAGGTGGTTAGACAGGCATGCGTGGAGCAGAAGAGGGCTATTCTCCCACCCACTAGGAATGTTGGGTGATGGTTCAACAATTATCACATTGCCTCTCTAAAAGTGATAAATTGGCAGCTGGGCACCAGGGATAGTTCACTTGTTGATGGTCCACATCTGTTGCACTGAAGTGTTAACTGAATGCAGACACCAGGGAGATGCAACTTCCCAGGCATGCGTATTAAGAGACAAAATGGCGGAGTATGACCTTCAGGGGGCACACCACTGGAAAGAGGAAGAGAGCCGCAGGCATGTGTACAACTTCCTAAACACACTGCGCATGCTCACCTCCCAAGGGTAAGGACACTGCATGGGGGCAGGCCAACCTAAGGGAAGAATCATGGGAAAGGGGCCAGCCTAAAAGCCCTAGAATCAAAGTTAAACACGGCACTTGATGTTGGTGCCTGCTTGGGTCTCTTCCAAGTGTATTTTCTTTGCTTTCCTGTTCTAAAGACTTTTTAAATAAACTTCCACTGCTGCTCCGAAACTTGCCTCGGTCTCTTTTCTTGCCTTATGCCTGTTAGTCAAATTCTTTCTCCTGAGGCGGCGAGAACTGAGGTTGTTGCAGACCGGTACAAATTCACTGCCAGTAACTCGGATATCTTCCATCAGTAACATCTCCAGGTAGATAGTGTATGAACTGAATTGAATTAGAGGACACCCAGCCAGTGTCCACTGCAGAATTGACTGGTTGTTGAGAGTATAAAAAAAGCACTTTCTCCTCTCTATCCTCAGCCATACTCATTTGTTTACATTTTCTCTAGGGCTGCTTTCACATACTACAATAGCAGAGTTAAGTAGTTGTGATGACGACTTTCTGGCCCACAAAGCCTAAAATATTTACTATCTAGCTATTTACAGAAAAAATGTGCCGACTCCTATCCTGGAAAAGAGACTACCACACAGTAAGCATTAAAATTGATTTTTTTTTTTTTTTTTTTTTTGAGACGGAGTCTTGCTCTTTCGCCCAGGCCGGACTGCAGTGGCGCTATCTTGGCTCACTGCAAGCTCTGCCTCCCGGGTTCACGCCATTCTCCTGTCTCAGTCTCCTGAGTAGCTGAGACTACAGGCGCCCGCCACCACGCCCGGCTAATTTTTTTTTTTTTTTTTTTTTGTATTTTTAGTGGAGACGAGGTTTCACCGTTAGCCAGGATGGTCTCGATCTCCTGACCTCGTGATCGGCCTGCCTCGGCCTCCCAAAGTGCTGGGATTACAGGTGTGAGTCGCTGTGCCCGGCCTAAAATTGACTTTTTAATTAAAAAATTTTTAAACTTTTTTTTTGAGACAATCTCACTCTATTATCCAGGCTAAAGTGCAGTGGCATGATCTCAGCTCACTGAACCTCCGCCTCCCAGCCTGAAGCCATCCTCCCACCTCAGCCTTCCTGAAGTAGCTAGGATTACAGGTGTGCACCACCACCACATCCAGCTAATTTTTTGTATTTTTTGTGGAGATGGGATTCTGCCATGTTGCCCAGGCTGGTCTCAAACTCCTGAGCTCAGTCTGCCCGTCTCGGCCTACCGAAGTACTGGTATCACAGGGGTGAGCCACCATGCCTGGCCCACTAAAATTTTTATTGAAGGAATGAAACCACCATATTGCAAGTGGTTCAACAACTTTACTCATTCCTTCGGAATAACTGCTCATACCCATTACAAACTACTAGCTAAGGTATCAAAGAAGGGAGTGAACTGAATTATTAAGCTGCTTTTCCAATGAAGCTCACACAAACAATTTTCTAGGATAAATCATTCTTTCAGGGCCAGGTGTGGTGGCTCATGCCTGTAATCCCAACACTTTGGGAGGCCAAGGTGGGAGGAGTTTGAGACCAGCCTGGGCAATATAGGGAGAGCTCATCTCCACAAAAAATTAAAAGAATTAGCTGGGCATGATGGTGTGTGCCAGTAGTCCCAGCTACTCAGGAGGCTATGAAAGGAAGATTGCTTGAGCAAGGGAAGTTGAGGCTGCAGTGAGCTGTGACTGCACCACTGCACTCCAGCCTGGGCAAGAGAGTAAGACTCTGTCTCAAAAAAAAAAAATTCTTTCAGCTGTTTACCAAAGGTGATTATTTCACACAATAATTAACGTCAACTGCTACCATGTTCGGGAACTTGAACTTAAAATTCATGAGAAATTCTACCTACTTCCAGCCTGAGACCTCTTTCAGAATTTAGGCACTAGGAAGTTTGACTCTAAAACTGAACAAATTTGTGATTTGTTCTTTGAAGTAACAAATTAAAATCATACATGAATGGAAAAAGTTCTTGATTCTCATATTGAGAAGCTGTAATGATCTCTGGGAAAAAGAATAAATAAATAACTACCAGCACTCAGATATCTGAGACTAAATCACCAAGAATGACTATGGACTTTGTACAGCATAATCTTAGAGATAAATATGGAGTGAAGAGGTTTACCATCTTCTTCAAAACGACACAATTTCTTAATGACAAAGTTGGGATTGAAATGTAAATCTCTAAACTCCCTATTCTTTGTCCCTATTTTAAGTTGACAACTGGAACAGATCACTGATTTATAATCTATACTTCTCCAGCTTTCACTCCCATTACTTTGTCTTCCACTTTGAGTATAATAATCCTCATACTTTAAAATTTAAAAAATTTTTGATAAACTTTTAATTTTGGAACAAGGTTTAGATGTACAGAAACATTGCAAAGGTAGGAGAGTTCCCATATACTCACACTCCACTTCTTCTGTTAACATCTTATGTTGGTATGGTATGTGTGTTACAATCAATGAACCAATGTGGACACAATAATATCAAGTCCATACTTGATTCAGATTTGTTTTTATGTAATGTCTTTTTCTGCTTTAAAATCCCATCCAGTTATAGCACAGTAAAGTCTCCTTAGGCTCTTCATGGCTATGACAGATGCCCAGACTTTGTTTCTGATGACTTTTGACAAAACTGTCACTGAGCACTGATGAGGTATTGAAGAACTAATTTGTGGTATTTAGTATCAGGTACTATAGTATAGTGGTCCCCAACCTTTTTAGCACCAGGGACCAGTTTCGTGGAAGACAGTTTTTCCATAGACCAGACGTCTATGGAAACTCAATAATGACTTTAAAAATTAAGAATCTTCCAAGATTAACTGTGGAGAACTCTATTAGCTGAAACAATCAGAGGTGGGGTAGTGGTTTGGGAATGAAACTGTTCCATGTCAGTTCATCAGGCATTAGATACTCATAAAAAGCATGCAACCTAGATCCCTCACATGTGCAGTTCACAATAGGGACTATACTCCTATGAGAATCTAATGCCGCCACTGATCTGACAGGCGGCGGAGCTCAGGCAGTGATGCTCACTTACCCACCACTCACCTCCTGCTGTTCGGCCTGGTTCCTAACAGGCCACGGACTGGTACCAGTCTGCAGCCTGGGGGTTGGAGACCCCTGCTATAGCAGGTTGTCTCTCAACAGGGATTCATCTGGTGTTTTTCTCAGGCTGGGGTTATGTGGTTATTTTTGGAAGAAAGATCAGAGTTAAAATGCCATTTTTCATTGCATCTTATCAAGAGTATATACTATCAACATGACTTACCACTTTGGATGTTGACCTTGATCACCTGGCCAAGGTAGTCTTTGTAAGGCTTCTCAATTTTAAATTGACTCTTTTTTTCTCCTCTTCCATATTGTACTCTTTGGGAGGGAAGTCAATAAGCAGAGACCATACTGGAGTGGAAAGTTATGCTCCATCTCTTTGATTTACCTACATAAATTATTTGGAATTCTTCATGGAAAATTTGTCTCTTCTCTATATATTTATTCAATCATTTGTTTATATCAACATGGATTCACATATTTATTTTATACTTTGGGTTATAATTCCATGTTACTTCATTTCGTTGTTCAAATTGTTCCAGTTTTGGCCATGGGAGCTACTCATACTTTAAAAATCTGCTTCCATTGGGCTTAGATGTTCCTTTGCCTCTTATAGCTTAATTCTCACACAAAAAAAAAATCCTGAAAACTGCCTCTACTAGTCCTTAATCTCCCACTACTCTATGTTTTTCCTGCATATACCTAAAGATTTTGTGTATTATGGTACTTACACCCAGTATACTTATCTGCTTCTCCCACTGAACAATAAGCTTCTTGAGGGTAGGGATCAAATCTTATTTATATCTATTCTTAGTACACAGTACATAGTTCCCTGCACAAAGGGGGAGCTCAACAAATATGTCTAGAATATCACTATGATTTTCTCTTCAGTCCAACAGTCCAGAAATGCCTAATACATTAACCAGAAGCCACATGTGGATTTGTTAGCTAACTGCTCTGAGAGGAACAACAAATTTCTACTGTCGGTAAAGTTTTAATGTTAGCCATGTAACATAATAGGCTCAAGATCTGAGGTAGCACCTCCTAATGTTTCATTTCTAAGTATGCAGACTTCTAATAACCCCAGTTTTATCTGCATAATTGTATTAAAGGCAATGACTAATTACTCTTATATTTAGGACCAGGGCTGGAGAGTTTCTAGGTCTGCTGACTTAGAGAACTGGTCCCCCAAAATAGCTCATGAACATTTTGGTCATGAGTTTCCCAAGTGACTTACTGCTGGCTGAAGATTGTATAACCACCGAAGAAATAAATTTGCTGAGTTACACTCTTTGTTGTTCACAACTTATAAGACAATGACTTTAAAAATTCAGAATCTTCCAAGATTAAGAATTAAGATTGTGGTGAACTCTATAGCTGAAACAAGCTTTTAGGTTGGATAATGCTGCAACCTCACTCCAAGTCTCCATAAACTCTTGACTGATCACCTTCCTAACTGCACTCTTGCCCCCATCTATCCATTCACCATAAATCAGATTATGCCATCCCCTTTAGCCCCTCCCTTTAATGCTTTTATGACCAAATTCAAATTCTCAGTTACGTTCTAGAAGGCTCATTGTACTAGGCTCCTCCATTTCTTTCAATTCAGCCTATACTTCTCTCTTCATTGTTCAGGCTAATCTTTCTGAAGTTGTAGCACAGTCCCATATGTTTTTTGATATTTAATAGTTCAGTCTTCTTGTAAGAACTGTATAAAATTCTCCAATCTTGGCTGGGTGCAAGTACAGTACTTACGGAGGCCAAGGAGTTGCAGACCAGCATAGGCAACATAGCGAGACCCTGTCTCTACAAAAATAAACTGTGGTCTCAGGTACTTGGAAGGGTAAGGCAGAAGGACTGCTTGAGCCCCAAGGAGTTTATGAGCAGGGAGCTATGACTGTTACCACTGCACTGCAGCCCACGTAACAGTGCGAGAACCTGTCTCAAAAAAAATTCTTCAAGCTTGGGCTGGCATGGTGGTTTGCACCTGTAATCCCACCACTTTGGGAGGCTGAGGCAGGAGGACTGCTTGAGGACAGGAGTTCAAGATCAGCCCGGGCAACAGAGAGAGATCCCATCTCTATTTAAAAAAGAAAAAAAGTGTTCCATCTTAATGTCTGAGAAACCCCTACAAGTCCACTTAAGTAAAGATTAAATTGGAACATTTTGACAAGCCATACTGTTGAGTGAGGAGTTTTTGGTGTTAAAATGTATATTACCTTTAAGTTATTTAATAGTATGTTATTTTTGCAAGGAACAGTAATATTAGTTTGATCTTGAAATCTCACAGACATGATCTCAAATTTAAAAATGGTATTTATAAGAAAAAATTAGAAAAAAACTTGAAGCACTGCCTTCTTTAAAAACGAAATTGCTTTGATAACTACATGTACCTTATTGTATTCTTACAAACATGTAGAAATTAAATGGCCCCACAATGTAGACGGTTAGAAATAAACATTAAAAAAGACCAAATAAAATAAGCACAATAATATGCTTCTACTTAAATGCATTCAGGAGGCATTAACTCTCTGCTTCGTATTTGGAAGATTTTCTACATTTGAATATTCTTTCTACATCTTTGCAAAAGGTCCTTTATTAATCTTGGAAACAATGTTCAACTAATATTGTTCTGGTGGGTGACCTGTAATTTTTGAACGATACTAGCTTTTCCTCTCAGAATTGAGTCTAAAAGTTTATCAGGTCTTAACTCACAGAATCAAGATACACTGCTCTTGATCTGAAAATGAAAAAAAAACTAAAAAAAACTAAAAAAAAAAAAAAAAAAATTCACCTGACTTTGAGGAACTGGTTTGGTGGTAAAACCAGATCTTGCACTGATACAAAACTGTTTTTGGTTAATTAACCCCATGTAATGTGAACATTTATGCATTCTGCTACAGAAGTATTAATGTGTTTGATTAGGGACTACTGCTCTAGACTCTGTTAGAGGTTGTTACATAATATTCAGTATATATACTCTATTAGTTTTCTAATACTTGTGTAGTCTTTGTTGCCCAGGCTGGAGTACAGTGGTGCAATCTTGGCTCACTGAAACCTCTGCTTCCTGGGCACAAGTGATTCTCCCATCTTGGCCTCCCAAGTAGCTGGGATTACAGGCGCCCGCCACCATGCCTGGCTAATTTTTGTATATTTAGTAGAGATGGGGTTTCACTATGTTGGCCAGGCTGGTCTCAAACTCCTGACCTCAAGTGATCCACCTGCCTTGGCCTCCCAAAGCACTGGGATTAACAGGCATGAGCCACCGTGCCTGGCCATACTTGAAAATTTCTAAGTTCTATGATACATTTGGCCCCAAGTATTTCAGATAAGAAGATGTGAACCTGTAACAGGTTTCAGTAATCTTGAGTGGAAGAATACATTGGGATATTCTGATTACCTTCATCGTGCATTATCTTTATTCAACCAAGTGTTTATTATTGTATTATTATTATTATTATTCAAGTGTTTATTTTTATAAAATGTGTGGTGTATAAGTATGTTTATAACTTTTTTTTTTTTTTGAGACAGAGTCTTGCTCTGTTGCCCAGGCTGGAGTGCAGTGGCATTATCTCGGCTCACTGCAAGCTCTGCCTCCCAGGTTCACACCACTCTCCTGCCTCACCCTCCCGAGTAGCTGGGACTACAGGTGCCGCCACCACGCCTGGCTAATTTTTTTTTTTTTTGTATTTTTAGTAAGGACAGGGTTTCACCATGTTAGCCAGGATGGTCTCGATCTCCTACCTCGTGATCTGCCTGCCTCGGCCTCCCAAAGTGTTGGGATTACAGGCGTGAGCCACCGCGCCTGGCCTTGTTTATAACTTTTAAAGCAACTCTTTACATTACTTTTGCTTGGCTTGCTGGTCTTCTTTCCTTTTACAATTTGAAAATAATTTATAAAAACCAACTAGATAATCTAAGTGACCATATGGCTTAGAAATTTGGATAACAGGGCTTTAAATCCTTTTCCTCTAAGTTAAGGGCTGTTGAACTATAGTCTGTGGGCCAAATCTGACCCTCTGCCTACTTCCCAGCCATGCACATTTGTTCACATGTGTCTGTGGCTGCTTTCCTGCTATACTGGCCAAACTGAATAGTTGTGCCACTGACCATATAACCTGCAAAACCGAAAATATATCCGGCCCTTTACAGAAAAAGTTTGCTGACTCCTGCTCCAAGACATTACTCAGCCTAGGATGGTACTAAAAGCAATGGACTAGTTGGTTTGGTATACATTTAGGGCTTATGGTATGTTTTTGTAACATTTCAAAGGCAAAGACAGAGCTAGCTGTCAGAGACTAACATTCTCTTTCTGTTTAAATGTGGTCTCAATAGATCAAAATTTTAGATCTTAGCCAGATTCAGAGAGACTGGACAACATGGTACTTGCTGATGATATAAATCTGGTCAGAGAATGAAGAAAGAATTTTATAAAGTAATCTTTCTATCTACCGTAAACAGTAAATTCACTGGCAGAAATCTATGTACTTTATATTTTGTTTACATTGATATGTGTAATTCCCAAAGAGGTTGGGAAATACGAACTTTACAAATTATTCACTGTTACATTATAGTTCACATATGCTACTTCTTAAAAAGAGTTATCTCTTGCTGCATTTGACAAAAACTTTCCAAGCTCAACTGTGGCTCAATAAACTTTTATTGTTTTGTTATTTATTTTTATTCAAAAGAATTTGTTTCCCTATCACAAAAATTAGATAACACCACCAAGAGCAGCAATGTCCATGGAGTTACATTGATGGTGGAGAGTTGGCTGGGTATTCCCAATGTCCCAAAGGTCATAAAGGAGGGAAAAGAAAAAAAGAAAAAAATATTCAAAACAAATCCAAAACCCATGATGACTTTGGGGAGAGACATCACATGACATTTTCTGTTTCTTCTCTCATTGTCAGCTGCAGATGTATTTCAGCAGGATCAAGTACAATTTGACTTGAGTTAACCCTTCATACCAATTCTAGCACCTAATTGGGGGGAAAAAAGGATCCATTTAATAAAATCATTTAAGATATAAAAGGAATTTAATGACTCTTTACTATATTTACCAATAGAAAAGCAAATTTAAAAAACGTTTCCCAACTGGGAAAATGCCAAAGAATTTGAATGGATTGGACATTAATCCTTTTTGACCTGCAGCTTAACAGCTGCATGAACTCTTTCAGATGAGCTATCTCCACAGTTAACTTGGAAGCCTTCAAGGTAAACTACATAAAACACATGGAAAAATAAATTGGCTAATGCATAGCACAAATACATTTTTGGAATATATGTTGGAATCTTTCCACATTCTTATGAAAGTTTTAAGTATCCTTGTTTAGGATTTTAATCTGTTTTCTTCTTTCATCAATAAACACTGTTTATAATGATCAAGGTTACAGGACCTAAAGTCTTGCTCTTTCCTGCTGCTTCATCCATTTCTAGCCAATCATCTAGCGTCCAGATACTTTGTATTTTTAGAATTAAAGTAGTATACTGTCATAAAAAAGTAAGTTGTGATATTGCTAAAACTAAGAGGAAGCAAATGGCTAAGAAAGATCACGGAACAGGAGGATAGTTATGAGACACTGTCAAAAAGAATTACATTAGATGGACACTACAACACTCACTAAGTAGCAAATATTTAAACGTGCAACCTTTCCCCTGCTGCTCAGCTAAGGCTTGACTAATATATGTGCTTCCATAATGCTTTTGTCTTTATATTAGGTAACTAGGCTACTTAACATAAGAAGTCAATGATGCTGAACAAAATCTTAGATTTGTCAGTGGGATCCTATGAGAACCTATGTAGTTTTGAGCTCTTGTAGGTATGCTGGCAATCCCAATTGGTGTAAAGGATAAACTTTTTGAAGAGTAAGGTGTAGCTTTTCAATTCATGACTTGACATGAGAGTAAGAGAGAGACTGAGAGAGTATAGAAAGCCACTTAAATCAGATATTCCAAGACCTTCTACCATCTTGCTTGAGGCTTCCAGAACATAACAAACACTGATCAGTTAAAAAACCTCGTTTTCATTTAAGCTCTCAGTGGTTCTCTAAAGAGGCTTTTCAAACAGAGAAACTGGCTGCCTAAAAAAGGAGACTACCATGTAAATTAGTGCAGTTCTTCTGCGTTAAGTTTGCTCATTTCACCTCTGTAGAATGTTTAGGCTAGGATTTGCTGCCTTGGCTGATGGATTATTCTCCACTTATGATGAGTCTAAGGAAGCTATGGCAAAATTAATGCTAAGTGGCAGGAGAAACACACACGTTATGTTAAAAAACTTTCAATATTTCTACCAAATCAGCAGAGAATATGTGGAAAAAACAGGTACTCTCAGAAACACGTACTCCACCAAAAGGGTGTTTTGTTTAGAAAGTTCACTGCTTATCTCAGGATTTATTTATCCAATGTATCATGTACAAGTGCTATATATGCATCAATCAATTTTCTTTCCTTTTTTTATGGCTAGGCTTCCTTGAATCACATCTATCAATTTTCAACTGAACACTAAAATAACTTTTTCTCCCCTTTGACAACTGAGGAAAAACCTACTTCTTAGGGGACAGAAGAAAGAGAACCATGAGGAAGAGAATAAAATATGACCAAGATATGTTTAAATCTGGTGATGTCTAAGCATCTTCTGCTATATCTTGCATCTCCTGCTATATTTTGGGCTCTATCTACTGAAAGCCCTGTGGGAGAGTTGTACTGGCATAACAGAAGCTAAACTGTGCTTAGCCCACAGTGAATGTTCACTAGTCTTTATCTGTTTTTCAAACTGACCATCTATTAATCCATCCAGCATCCATACAACCTCAATAAGCACTATCATCTTCTCCACAGATGCAAGCTACCTATTCTTTTCCCTTAAATCAAGCCATTTGTAAGGAGACACAGACCCATGATTTGGGATGATCTCTAAGGCTCAGTACAATGGTGTATTTCTATAATCCTGTTTCAGTCTAAAAATGGGCCTGAGTTTAAAATGGAGATATAGTAAATAGCTTACCTTAATTGTACCCTGACTGTTAGCAGCAATCAGCACATTGGACTCCTAGAAAAGAACAAGAGCTTTTAAAGTATAGAGAAGGATTTCCTGGAGAGCAATCCAAGAGATAATTTCCTCTTCATCCTTCTTTCTTCACTTCAATTCCTAAGACAATTGAATCTAATATGAAGATACAATTTTTTTTTTTTTTTTTTGAGACGGAGTCTTGCTCTGTTGCCCAGGCTGGAGTGCAATGGCGCGATCTTGGCTCACCACAACCTCCACTTCCTGGGTTCAAGCGATTCTCCTGCCTCAGCCTCCCGAGTAGCTGGGATTACAGGCATGCGCCACCAGCCCAGGTAATTTTTGTATTTTTAGTAGAGACGGGGATTCTCCATGTTGGTCAGGCTGGTCTCGAACTCCCAACCTCAGGTGATCTGCCCACCTCGGCCTCCCAAAGTGCTGGGATTACAGGCGTGAGCCACTGTGCCCAGTCGAAGAGACAATTTTAACATGTTTTTAACTGTATTTTAAACTTAAGATCCCATATTTTGAAGTGTAAGTTTTAATAAAAGAATAAAGTTAGAAGCAGAGTAGGACACTTTTGAATGTAAACAAAAATAAAAGGGAAAAAGATTGTCAATGGAAGAAAAGCCAAAAGAAACAAAGACTGAAATAAAATGAAAAAAAGAGTAAGTTGAGAAAAACAAAGTGAATAATTGCTTTCCCAGCACACTCCTTCTTCATTCATTTTCTCTCATAAAATACCAGTAATTGATGTAAAACCTGCCAACATCCTTGGCACAAATCTCTATGGATGGACATTTGGTATTAGGAAAACAAGAAAATGTGAATATTCATTTGGGAAAAAGGACTATCTTTCTTTTTAATTATTCTATCATTCAGCACATGCATTTTTAATAACCTTGGTAATTACTTGGATGAGAATATATGTGGTGAAGTATTTTTCTATTCTAAGCCAAGGAAAAAACATTTCTCTGGAAAGTAGGAAGAGTGGGAAAAGAAATGGACATGACTGAGTTTACTAGAGAGAATCTCAGAAAGTAGGAAGAATGGAGACATGCCTCCTGTAGGAAACTGGGCATCTAAAGGGCTCTGGAACTTGGATGTGTTGGAGTCTTTTGCTTTCCATGGTAGGCAGCTAAGAGGTGGTAAACAGACTTAAAATGTCATAGAGGTCAGGCCAGGTGGCAGAGAGAAAAACGAAGTCCAAATAACAGCTATGAGAAACAGATAAAGTGGTCTAATTTGAATGTAGGATAGGATCTACCTAAATATCCTTCAGGCTTCATGACAAAGCAATAATAAGAACAAAGAAAACTCTTGGCTTGTATGTTAGAAAAGTTACTTCAGCTAAGCTGAGTTAAACTTTAGTTTCTTTGACATATGCAAGTTGCGCTTTACAAACTCATACATTTCCATTTTTAAATTTTCCCTTTCATTTCTAATAAAGCTGCTCTTCAGAAATGTGCATCTTGTTACTAATGGCATACAAGAAAATAATAATGTCTTCCACTATTCCAGAATTTTTAATGGAATCAGAATACTCTTTGGAATTAGTCAGCAGCATCAAAGATTATAGGTGTATCAAGAAGAAATAAAGACATGTGGGCATGGGAATTGTTGATCTTTTCCTAGCTGAGGATTTTCCTTAAATTAGCAAATGTTCTTAAAAATAGTAACATGGGGGCTGGGCGCAGTGGCTCACACCTGTAATCCCAGCACTTTGGGAGGCAGAGGTGGGCAGATCATGAGGTCAGAAGATCGAGACCATCCTGGCTAATATGGTGTAATCCTGTCTCTACTAAAATACAAAAAATTAGCTTGGCGTGGTGGCGTGTGCCCGTAGTCCCAGCTAGGCAGGAGGCTGAGGCAGGGGAAGTGCTTGAACCTGGGAGGCACAGGTTGCAGTGAGCAAAGATTGCACCACTGCACTCCAGCCTGGCTGGAGAGACTCCAGCAAGGCTCCGTCTCAAAAAAAAAAAAAAAAAAAAAAAATGAACATGGGTAATACAATACTCACTATTAGAATTAACTTTGGAATATTATGGGCTATTTCTGGGACTTGAGGTATACAGAATCAACACTTCCATATTCGGGGTGGGGGGCTGGGGTGAGGGGAAAGGAAGATGAATTTGGGATTTATTTACTCTTTTAGTGACCTGAATGTAGAAAGTGGTTGGAGTAGGTTCTGGATGTCCTTTAGGAATATAATAACTTACCCTGAGTTGGTTAAGAGACAGCATTTCTATGCTGGCCTCAGAAAACAGCAGAAAGAGGCACTGTGTGGTGCAATATGGATTTCTTTCTAGCAGGAATTTTAAACAAGTTGTATGGTATCAGAACTGCCACTGGTGACCCACAAATAATTCTCCTGTAAACATCATCCAGAAAAGCAGTTGAAAATCTCACTGATCAACCTAGTTGCCATTCAAGGAGGGGACAGACTCTGGTCTGCAAGAAAGCTACTGCCAAGAGCCACCACCACTAAATGCTGCAGCCATCATGAACTGCTCCCTTTGCTATGAGAACAAATAATGACAGGACAATGAAAAATTTAAAGCCGAAAGCTCCATCTCCTTCTGCCATTTTGGGTCTAGTCACCTTTTAATATAGAGAAGGAATGCAGAGACCTGGTGAAGATGAGGATTCACTTGGGGATAAGCAGGGAGTCTACTTCTGGCAGTTACAGGGATTATAAATTACATAATTGAAACTTCTGACTTCTGATGGGAGCAAAACTAGGAAAATTGTAGTATATTATCTTACAGTATGAAAAATTAGCCCCAATATAAATAAGATAATCTAGTTGGATTACCACACAAGAGGAGTTTAAAATATGTACAATTACCACTCTAAACCCAAGAAGGACATCTGATAACTATCCAACATGAATAAACACTGTCTTACTGTAACCTCAGGATTACTATGGCATTAATATATGATGTCATATTAGATGCTATCCAAGGGTTAACTCTTAACACTATTTCCTGCAGAAACAGATAAATACTTTATGTGTTAAAAAAAAAAAAAGTCAACATACGAATTGAATGCCAGTTTGAATGGTCTTTTAGGACTGAAATTTAATGAAAGAAAAATAATGGCTTCATATCTCAGTACATCCTCTCTCCCCAAAGGTAGTATGATTACAAAAAAAGTTATTTAGAATTAAACTATCAGATAGCTAGATATTGGCTTAAGATAAATTATTTTTTTTTTGCATGCAACAGAAAAATAAGACCAGATATTTTACTTCTAGCATAGAGATGTGGAAGTGGTACGTACAAGGTTATTAATGTAAGTTTTTAATGGTTCTTGATTGTATTTTGGATGACTGGTAATTCCTAGTTGTAGCTGTGGTCTGCTAGGGCCTACTATAAATAAGTTCTAGCTCAACAGGTTATTTTTTACTTGCTAAATAAAATAAAAGTGTGAGTCAGTAATTCTTATTATTTTCTCCCTCTTTTTTGGAAACCGGCAGTTTTACTGCAGAACTCTCCTCAAGGCTAAGCTAATAAAATACCCAATATTTTTTTCTGACTATGAAGAGACTAAGAAAAGACAACAGAAAAATTAGCAAGTCTTTTATAAAAACAGAAGACATATAAACATGCACCAACTTGCTTAAGTCAGTGATACTACACTAACTTATACCAAAACATTTTTAGTAGCACACGTAGGCTAGTGAAGAAAACCTGCATCTACTAAAATAGTTTTATCTTTATTGACTTGCTTAAAAAGGGTCATTATAGACAATACATTAAAAATCTGGATGGCGCTGTGGGTCACACCTGTAATCCCAGCACTTTGGGAGGCCAAGGCAGGCGGATCACCTGAGGTCGGGAGTTTGAGACCAGCCTGACCAACATGGAGAAACCCCATCTCTACTAAAAATACAAAAAAAATTAGCCAGGCGTGGTGGCACATGCCTGTAATCCCAGCTACTTGGGAGGCTGAGACAGGAGAATCGCCTGAACCCGGGAGGTGGAGGCTATGGTGAGCCAAGATCATGCCACTGCACTACAGCCTGGCCAACAAGAGCAAAACTCCATCTCAAAAATAAATAAATAAATAAATATATAAAATATAATAAAATAAAATCCTGACAAGTTGAGAAATGAACAGTTATTCACTCAGCAACTGGTGGATTTATTCATAGAGATAGATGTAACTGATTTTAAATGTAAATTAATTTTAGTATAGGTATAAGTATATACAATGTATTTAAATATAAGATACGTGAATATATATATATATATATATATATAAAAACTTCCATTTTTGGCCATAACAGAGTAAACAGACTAAATTTGTTTTCCTACCATATACAACTGGAAAACTGAAAAAAATATGTAAGATACCACTGGACCACAGGCAGTACAGGACTGTGATCTTTGAGAGAAAAGAAACAAATGAAGTGAGTCCTATAATCACCCTGGTTTTCTACTGAGAGGCAATTTCTGGACCACAAAGCAGGTAAGGAGATGGACATAACAACAGATGAGACAAGTGAGGAATAAAACATCAAAAAATTTGGTAACACCTCCAAAATTACAACTGAAGCAGACAGGAAAAAAGCATGAGAGGAAAAAGAGATTAGCATCTCAGTGACCTATTGGGCAATATGCAACCTAATAAATGTATAATTGGAGTCCCAAAGAAGGAAGAGAAAAAAATATATGAAAACGTTAAGACTAAAATGTTTCAAATTTGTAAACTATAAACCCACAAATCTAAGAAGCTTAACAATTTCTGGCAGAAAGAAGCACAACACCACATCAAGGCACACCACAGTTACACTGCTGAAGACAAGAAACAGAGAAAATCTGTAGAAATGCCAAAGAAACAAAGACACATTACATAAAGAGAAAGATCGCCAATTTCCCATCAGCAAGAATGCAAGCCAGAAGACAATAGGACAGCATCTTTAAGATGACAAACAAGAGGCCAGGCGCAGTGGCTCACGCCTGTAATCCCAGCACTTTGGGAGGCCATGGCAGGCGGATCGCCTGAGGTCAGGAGTTTGAGAGCAGCCTGGCCAACATGGTGAAACCCCATCTCTACTAAAAATACAAAAATTAGCTGGGCGTGGTGGCAGGAGCCTGTAATCCCAGCTACTCGGGAGGCTGAGGTGGGAGAATCGCTTGAACCTGCGAGGCAGAGGTTGCAGTGAGCCAAGATGGCACCATTGCACTCCATCCTGGGCGACAAGAGCAAGACTTCATCTCAAAAAAAAAAAAAAAAAGATGATAAACAAGAAAGCCATCCATTGAGATACACAAAATTAAAGTCAAAATAAAGATATTTTCAGATAAAATAAAGCTGAGATAATTTTTCACAAACAGACCTGCGCTGTAAGAAATTGTTAAAGGAAGTTCTTCAGGATGAAGGAATATTATACTACATGAAAACTCTGATCTAAAAAAGGGATAAGGTGGGCATGGTAGCTCACACCTGCAATGCCAGCACTTTGGGAGGCTGAGGTAGAAGGATCATCTGAGCTCAGGAGTTTGAGACCAGTCTGGGCAACAGAGTAATACCTTGTTGCTACTAAAAATAAAAAAAAACATTAACCAGGCATGGTGATGCATGCATGCCTCTAGTCCCAGCTACTCCGGAGGCTGAAGCGGGAGGATCTCTTGAGCCTAGGAGTTTGAGGCTGCAGTGAGCTATGGTTGCACCACTGCACTCCAGCTTGGGAAACAAAGCAAGACTCTGTCTCAATAAATAAATAAGGGATGAATATTGTGAGAAATGGTGACTAGGTAGATAAATATAAAAGATATTTGATTTCTTGTTTTTAAGTTTTTTTAAAAGATAATTTCCTATTTTAAGGAAAAATAATAACAGTGCTTTAAGGTGATTATAACACAAACACAAGTAAATATACATGACAACAAAAGCACAAATAATAAAAGGGGAGAATAGAAGTATAATGTTATAAGATTCTTCCATTATAAAGTGGTATCATATAATCTGAAGACAGACTGTAAAAAGTTAAACATATTATAAACTTTAGAGAAACCATTAAAAAATACAAGAAACAGTATATACCTAATAAGCTAGTAAAGGAGAAAAAATATTATAAAAATACTCAAAAAAAAGAAAGGAAATGAGGAACATAGGAACTTAGAGAAGACAAAAAATATGACAGACATAAAACCAACTGTATTGATAATTAAGTATAAGGGGTCTAAATATTATAATTAAAAGGCAGAGATTATAAGACTGGATAAAACAGCAAGATTCAACTCTATGCTGTCCCTAAGAAATACACTTTAGGCTGGGCGCGGTGGCTCATGCCTGTAATTCCAGCACTTTGGGAGGCTGAGGTGGGAGGATTGCTTGAGACTAGGGGTTTGAGATCAGCTTGAGCAACAAAGTGAGACCCTGTCTTAAAAAAATAAAAAAAGGAAACACTTTAAACATAAAAATACAGATAAGATACACCACGCAAACATTAATCGTAAGAAAGCTGGAATGGCTATATCAGAAAAAGTAGACTTCAGGACAAGAAATTTGACCAGCGATAAAGACAGGTATTTCATAATTAAATAAGGGTCAACTTATAAAAAAAAAAAAAAACTCCTATATACATATATATCTAAAACAAAGCCAAAACTGACAAAACTAAATAGAATAAATTGACTCATGTTTGGAACTTTTAACAGTCACCTTTCAATAATTCAAAGACTAAGTAGAGAGAAAATCAATAACCATATAAAAGACTTAAACAATAGCATAAAAACCAAACTGAACTAACTGACATTTACAGAAAGTTTTATTTAAATGACAGAATACACATTCTTTTCAAATGCATGCGTACTAGTCCCCAACAAAGATGTGTCAGACCATAAAACAAATCACAGTAAATTTAAAGGGCTAAAATCATACAAGTATGTTCTCTGAAGAAACAGAACTAAAGTAGAAAAGAATAACAAAAAGAAATCTGGAAAAATCCACAAGTATTTGCAAATTTAAAAATATACTCCCAAATAACCCAGGGATGGAAATGAGAAACCATTTTGAACTAAAAGATAATAAAAATGCAACATATCAAAATTTGTGTAATGCACCTAAAACAATGCCTAGAAAGTTATAGCTTCCAATACTTATTAGTAAAGCAGGAAGGTTGAACATTAATGATATAGTAACTTGCACCTTAAGAAGCTAGGAAAAGAGCAAGTTACACATGACGTAAGTACAAGAATGACAGTCATGAAGAGCAGAAATCAAAATAAAACCAGAAAAAGGTAAAAAAGTATTGAAATGAAAAGTTAATTCATTGAAAAAAATCAATAAAATTGATACGCCTTAACAAAAAGAAAATGTAAGTTAACAATATCAGTAATAAATTATGGGATATCACTAGATATTCTATAGATATTAAAAGAATAATTAGAAAATAAACATGAACAATTGTATGTCAATAAAACTGACAGGTAATGAAATGAACAAATTCTATGAAAGATACAAATTCCCAATTATGACAGAAGAAAGAAAAAGTTGTTAAAAATGAAGACTAAGGAACATTTCCAAACTCAGCTTGTAAATCAAACAAAACCAGAGAAAGACATTACAAAAACAAATAAAATTACCAACTACTTTTATAAACAGATGTAAAAAACCTTAACAAAATACAAGTAAAGATAATTCAGTCATATACAAAAAGAATAATGCATCATGTCTAAATGGAATTCATCCAGATATTAAAATTGGTTTTCAACATTAAAAAATATATATATATAATTCACTATGTAAAGAGAATAGAAAAGGCCAGGTAGGGTGGCTCATGCCTGTGATAGCACTCTGGGAAGCTAAGGCAGGTGGATTGCTTGAGTCCAGGAGTGTGAGACCAGCCTGGGCAATATGGCGAAACCCTCTCTATCAAAAACACAAAAAATTAGATGGGTGTGGTGGCATGCACCTGTAGTCCCAGCTACCCAGAAGGTTGAGGTGGGAGAATCACCTGAGCCTGGGAAGGCTGTAGTGAGCTGTGATTGTGTCACTGTACTCTCGCCTGGGTGACAGGAGTGAGACCCTGCCTCAAAACAAAAAAAAGAAAAAGTAATGTAATCACAACACAGAAAATGCACTTGAGAGCATTCATCATCCCTTCAGCAAACTAAGAATAGAAAGGAACTTCTTCAAGGTGATAAGGAATACCTATGAAAAACTTACAACTAACATCATACTTAGTGGTGAAATACTGAACCCTTTCTCTCTCAGACTAGGAACAAGGTGAACATGCTTTCTCTCACCATTTGTATTCAACACTGTATTAGAGGTACAACCCAGTGCGACAGTCAAGAAAAGGAAAAAGCATATGGATCTGAAAAAAGAAAACTGTCTTCATTTGCAAAAGAGATGATGGCCTATGTGGAAAATCCTAATGTACCTTAAAAATAAGCCACTAGAATAAATAAATTGTCTTCAGCAAGATTGTCAGACACAAAGTCAATTATACCAAAATCAGTTCACTTCCATAAACTAACAATAAATGATAAGCAAATAGAATTTAAAAAATACCATTTATAGTACCATAAAAAGCATGAATCATTTAGAGACAAACCACACACACACACACACACACACACACACACACACGGCCTACATACTAAAAATTACCAAACAATGCTTAGAGATGTTAAAGAATACCTAAATAAATTGACAGTTATACCATGTTCATAGACCAGAGACTCAATAGTGTCACAATGCCAATTCTTCTTACATTATCTATAGGCTCAATGCAATTCCAATTAAAATCATACAAACTTTTCTAGTAGAAACTGGCAAAGTGATTCAAAAATTTAAATGAAAAAGCAAAGACATTATAATAGTTAAAATAATTTTGAAAAAGAAAAAATAAAACTAGGGACTTACACAACATGATTTGAAGTTCTACTGTTAATAAAAGCATTAGGAATCAATACAGTGTAGTATTATTAGGATAGACATATAAATCAAAGGCACAGAAAAGAAATTCCAGAAACAGATCCATCCATAATCAACTGAATTTCAAAACAACTTGGCAAGTTAAAAAAAAAATAGAGTAATTTTTACAAATGCTGTTGAAACAACTGCAGGTATGTGAAACAACCATATGTGTGCTAAAACAACTGTATATACAGAAAAAAGTAAACTTCAATCCTTCTATCATACCATTCCCAAAATTAATTCTAAATAGATCTAAGACATACATGTAAAAGCTGAAACAATAAAACTTCAAGAAAAAAAATCAGAGAAAATCTTTGGGTTGGCAACTATTTTTTAGGATGCAAAAAACATGTACAATAAAGGAAAAAAAAAACCCTGATAAATTGGACTTCATCAAAAATTTTAAAATACCATCCACACTTACTAGAACAACTAAATCTTTTTCTTAAAGTGACAATATCAAGTGTTGGCAAAAATATGTAACAAATGGAATGATTTTAGGATGCTGGCAGGAGTGCAAAATATAGTCATGCACTGCACAATGACATTTTGGTCAACGATGGGTCACATATATGATGGTGGTCCAATAAGATTATTGTACTATACTTCTTAATCATTAATTTAGATTATACTCCTTCTACTTATTAACAAAAAAAGTTACTGTAAAATAGGCTCAGGCAGGTCCTTCAGGAGATACTCCAGAAGAAAGCATTGTTACCATAGGAGATGACAGCTCTATGTGTGTTATTGTCCCTGAAGACATTCCGATGGGACAAGATGTAGAAGACAGTGATGTTGATGAGCTTAACAAAAAATGTTTAAAAAGTAAAAATAAATAAATACATTTAAAAATGGAAGAAAGCTTACAGAATAAGGAAAAATCTGTACAGCTGTACAATGTGTTTGTGTTTTAAGCTAAAAGTTATTACAAAAGAGTCAAAAAGTGAAAAAAATTAAAATTATAAAGTAAAAAGTTACAGTAAACTATAGTTAATTTATTATTGAAGAAAGAAAACATTTTAAAATAAATTAGTGTAGCTTAGGTATACAGTGTTGATAAAGTCTACAGTAATGTACAATAATGTCTGGGTCTTCACGTTCACTCACCACTCACTCCCTGACTCACCGAGAGCAGCTTCTACTCCACCAAGCTCCATTCATGGTAATGCCCTAGGCAGGTGTACCATTTTTTACCTTTTATATTGTATTTTTACTATAGCTTTTCTGTGTTTAGATACACAAATCCCATTGTGTTACAACTGCCTACACTATTCAGTGTAGTAACATGCTGTACAAATTTGTAGCCTAGGAGCAACAGGCTATACCACATAGCTAAGGTATGTACTAGGCTATACCATCCAGGTTTGGGAAGTACACTCTATGATGTTTGTGCAATGATGAAATCAAATCACCTAATGGCATTTCTCAAAACGTATCCCCATTGTTAAGTGACCAATGAATGTAATACAACAACTATGGAAAAAGGTTTGACAGTTTCTTATAAGGCTAAACTTACAACTACTCTACAATCTCATAATGCCACTCCTAGGTATTTATCCAAAAGAAATGATGGTATATAGTCACATAAACACTTATTTATGAATGTTTACAGCGGCTTTATTAAAAATAGTTCAAAACTGGAAACAAGGGCAATATTAAAGATTGGTGAATAGATACAAAATTTGTTGCATAGTTATAAAATGGATTACTAATAAGAAGGAACTACAGATACAGGCAATAACACAAGCATTTCAAAGTATCATGCTAAATAAAAGGAGCCAGGTGCAAAAAATTACATACTGTATCATTCCTGTTATATGAAATCCTAGAATAAGCAAAACTTAACTTATGATAACATAAAGTGGATTAGCAGTAGCTTGTAGTGGAGAAGGGAGGGGACTGATTACAAAGTGACACAAGGTAACTTTTTGGGTGATGAAAATGTTGTTATAACTGAATTAAGGTAGTAGTTATACTGATGTATACACTTGTAAAAATTCACTGAATACTCTTAAAATGTATGTAGTTTATATTTATGTAAATTATATTTCAATAATATCAATTTTAAAAAGCTGGGAACAAACACACAAGAACAAATACGTATTTTATAAGTTAACTTTAAACTCAATATTGGTCTTTAACAATTAAAAGTCATTATTCATGATTTAAATATTTTCTGATTTCCCAACATAATATATAAACCCCTTATCACTACTATATTTATGAGATCTCTGTAACCATTCAGGTATAATATCAAAGCCATTTCAGCTATGAAGCTAAATATTTCCCCCAAAATAAGGCACTGAATTATCAAAAAGAAAGGTAAATATTTTTGTCATTCCTCTCTCCCTGTTCAATATAGATGGTTTTATATATAAACCTTGCTATTTACTATGATAAGCATTTCCACCCTACATTTCTCCTCCTTTTATTAACCAGAAGATAACTATTAAACAAAATCAGAATATAACCCTTCTTTAAAATTTATTTCTCCAAATGTTAAGCATTACGTTAAATTGATGACTTCCCTCAGAATGAGAATAAATAATGTTATAGAAAAAAGAAACTGAAAAGACTTTATGTTAATAAATTTTAATATTTAAGCCAAGTGGAAAAATTCCTATAAAAACTTACCCAACTAATCAAGAAGAAATAGAAAGCAAGAATCATCCTACAGGTATTAAATTCATAAATCGACAGTCAAAAATATTTCTACCTCAGGCTTACATGACTTCATCTACGAGTTCAGCCAATATTCAAGAAAGAAATAATTTCGTATTACACAAATTTTTCCACATCAAAGGAGGAAAGAACTCCTTAATTTGCTTTATGAAGTTAATATACCCATGAAATCAAAACCTGACATGGACAATGCAAAAAAGGAAAAGATTATAGGCCAATGTTATTCATAAAGACAAATGAAAAAATCCTAAACAAAATAGTAGCAAGTTGATTTTAACAATATATAAGGAGAATAAATCTTGACCAAGTTGGGCTTATTCCAGCGAATGTAAAGTTGGTTTAATATTAGGTTAAAAAAAAATTTCACCTACTAGATCAATATTTGAAAGAAAAATATTATATCATGTTAAATAGGTACAAAAAAGCAGTAATATACTTTAGCATTCATTTATGGTAAGAACTCTCAGCACATTGAGAACTGAAGGAAACTTCTTTGTAAGGGTATGTATCTACAAAACTCTTACAGCAGACATACTTAATGATAACATCTTTAAAAGCTTTCCCTTTGGTGAGGAACAAGTCAACGATGCCAGATACCATTACTTTTATTTAACATTACATTAGATGTTCTGGCCATCAAAATACGGCAAATGAATAAAGATATAAAGGTATAAGTACTGGAAAAGCAGACACTAAACTTTAATTATTTGTGGATGAATTAATTGTGTGCATAAAAAAATCCAAGGAACGTAGAAATGAATAATTAAAATTAATAAGAGAGTTTAGCAAGATGGTTGGATTAAAAATGGGGATAATAAATAATGGATCCCTTAAGGACTACCTAGATACCTTTCTCTTATTTAGAAAAATATGTTTATTGGTTAACTTGAATAGATAATATACACATGTGGTAAAAATTCACACAGTACAAAAGAGTAGGGGAAAACTGAGTGTCTCTCATCTCCCTAGAGAGTCAACTACTATTATCAGGTGTGAAATCTTTCTAGGTAAATTACCATCATTAATGTAAACCTGAATTGTATAATAGATCAAATACATCTTCAGGGCTTTCTCAAAATGTACAGAGTCAAAAGTTTTCTATTTGGTGGTTATATCCTCCCTTTATCTTGTTTTGTGTTTCAGGTTTAACAAACAACCCTACTTGCAACTTGAGACTCCATTCTGTTTTAAGTGGCAAGCCAAATTTGATATTCAATTCTAAGCCTCTTCATCACCTAAGAGAGGTCTGTAGGCTTCTCTTATAGAAAAAACAATTTTACAGAGTTTTCTATATTCATGGAAATGCCAGTAACTGGTTTTCAGGAGGAAATGGACCAGAATTTATATACGACAATCTGTATTCCTAAAATCAAATTAACAGGTGGACAAAACATAGACAGAGTGACAGAGTAGATTAAATGTCTTTGGAGTCTGAAAGATTTCAATTCAAAGCTCTAACGCTTCTAGACTTTTCATTATGGGCAAGTTACTTGACCTCTCTGAATCTCAGTCTCCATAACTATAAAACAATGCTAATAAAACTAAGCTAACAGAACCATTTTTATGATCAAACAGACACATACATAAGTGCCTGGCATAAAGTATGTATCTTATAAGTGATCTTTAAGTGAGGGAAAATTGCTTCTGGCTTAGCAGTTCAAGGAAGGCAAGCAAAGGAGCCCAAAATGAACAAAGGGGCAGGAAGCAAAACAGAAGACTATTATGGAGGCTAAAAGAAGAGTTTAAGAAAGAGAAGCAAGTCAAAATTGTCAAAAATCATGAGGAAATGAAGACTGTTTAGTAATAATATGTTATTGGATTTGGACATTAGATGGTACTGGTAACATCAAAAGCAACTCCACCAAATGGTCAAGTTTGCATTATAAAGGGCCTTTATAAGTCCCTGGCTAACTTAGCCATTAGAAACTGGCTTTGACAGAGGCTTCGCCAGAAAGCTACTCCTGATGTCCAAGGTAACAGTGTGATGGGTAATTTTAGGTTTCAACTTGACTGGATAAAGGGATACTTAGAGAACTGGCAAAGCACTACTTCTGGGTAAGTCTGTGAGGGTGTTTCCAGAAGAGACTGGTGTGTGAGTCGGTTGACTGAGTGGGGAAGTTCAGCCCTCAATGTGGATAGGCACCATCCAATCAGCTGGGGGCCTGGATAGACAAAAAGGGAGCAGAAAGGTGAATTTGCTTCCTCTCTCCTGGAGCTGGGACACTCTTCTCCTGGCCTTGGCCATCAGAAGTCCAGATTCTCCAGCTTTTGGACTCTGGGACTTGCATCAATGGGCCCTCAAATTCTCAGGCCTTTAGCCTAAGATTCTGCCATGCTACTGGCCTCCCTGGCATATCATGGTATGTCTCACCCTCTGTAATCATGTGAGCTAATACCCCAAATAAAAACCCTGTCATAGATCTAACTATACATGTCCTATTACTTCTGTCCCTTTGGAGAACCCTGACTAAGACATAAAGAAACGCTCCCAAATTGATTCACAGAGAGAATAACTTTCAATCATCACAGTCGTTTCATTATACAGTAGTGACTTTGGCATGAAGTTTATTAATTTCATGCCACTTTATTCATCCATCATTATCCGTCCATTAGGGTAGATATCACATGCCAGATAATTGTGCTGGGTCCTGGAATTTCAAAGGAGAATAAGACATGATGTCTGATCTTAAGACCATAGGCCAACAGGGGAAATGGACTTTTAACAGAAAGAAATAGGCTGGGTGTGGTGGCTCATGCCTGTAATCCCAGCACTTTGGGAGGCTGAGGCGGGAGGATCACCTGAGCCTGGGAGGTCAAGGCTGCAATGGGCCTGAATTGGGCCACTGCATTCCAGCCTGGGTAACAGAGTGAGACCCTGTCTCAAAAAAAAAAAAAAAAAAAAAAGAATATATTATAGAGCTCAAAGGGGCAACTGAAGAAGTAAGAAGAGAGTGATCCTTTACTTGGAAAAGATAAGAAAGGCTTCACAGATTAGGTCACAAATGGAACAATGGAAGAATAAAACTTGAAATTTCACAGGAGAAAAGATGGATATGTTAGGCAAAGGGACACGGTCATGCACATGGAATAAATTTGAAAAAAAAAAATGGTTTTGGAATGATGACAAATTGTGTGGAGAAAGCAGCTTATGTATTAGTTAACGAGATGAAAATATGAGGTGGGGTAAGCATGTAAACTGTAGCATACCAGGGTTAGAAAATAAGTAAGATTAATTTATCTGTGAATTTTATTTATGGATAACAAAAGTCAGTGACTGCCTTTATGCAAAAAATAGATAGGAGCAGTTTTTCTTTGGTGTTGTAGATCAGAATATGCCATCCCAAAATATGCTACTCTGGTGGAAAGATTATTTTGAGCTGAAAGCAACTGAGGAGAGCTTTCTGCTCTCCTTCTATCTGCCTGAAAACAGACAATAAATTCCTCTTGTGAAAGAGAGGAATTCCCTGTACCCCAGTTACTTCCTGTACCAGGAAAGGGATAACAACCTTATTATTATTACCAAAGATGAGATGGTACTGAGAAAAAATCTGCACAAACCTCACTAACTAGCCCTTATCTACCATTAGTTTCTTATATATTAATATTTGCCTTCCTATTGTTCATCACTCCTAGAAGCTCAAAGTCCCTTTCCTTTGTCTTGTCGCTTCCCTTTAAATTTGTCTTCTTGTCTAAATGGTATAAAAACCTCCAAACCGAGCCTTTTCATTGGGGGTTTTCTTTCTACGAGATATCCCCCACTATTCCAACCCACCCCTGGCAGCTGATTCATGTAAAACTTTGAATATCAAATAAATTTGTATGCCTTTTCTGTTAATCCATCAGTTGTCAGTTTATTTCACAGACCTAGCCAGAGAACCTAAGAGGGTAGAAAAGAACTTTGCTTCCCACCAGTGTTCTATTCCTTCAGCCATCTCTCACCGCACCTCCCCCTCCCTGGGCACCTAGAGTCATCTCCTTTAATCCTATCTCTTAACAAAACTCTTCAATTCACATGTGTTAAGTTAAATAAGTGAATTCTTGGAAAAGCAGAAAAAAAATTAAGTTGTGTACTAGAAGGTAGAAGTTAATGATTATATCCGCAAACATAGTTCAAGATTTATTGTTTGAAGTGAATATAATGAAACATCGTCAAATAAACATTTTTTTTAATATGTGAGGGCAAACTTAACATCTTGAAAAACATGAATGTTACATGTGGGTGTTTTCTGTTATTCTTATTCCCCAGAAGGAAACTGAACACAGAAAAAAAAAACCCTGAATAATTAAATTATTTAATAACCTACCTGAGTAGACTCTCTACTTTTAATCTCTCATTACAATGCACTATACCCACTGCTATGATAATACTCTCATGGGATTATCTTCACAGTGGGCTTTAGGCATTTAATGCCTACAGAAGAAGGTCTAAACTTTTTTTTTTTCTCTCAGTATGGCATTCAAGACTATAATATCTAGCACACTCTCTGGCCTCATCTCTCAATAAAGTCCCTACTCCACCATCCTACTTAGACACTTTATTAGAAGTTTCTTAAACATCTATTGCACTTTCCCTCATCTGCGCCTTTGTTTACACTGTTCTCTAGCTTTCTGCAGTATAGCAGAAAGGGTGTACGTTTTACAGCCAGCCCGACCTGGGTTCTAATTCCAACTGTATCCCTTATTTAGCTGTGTAATCTTGGGCAAATCTGAGCGTCAATTTCACTTTTAAAGGAACTCAAGCATATATGCCTTAAAAGATTGATGATGATGATTTTAAATTAAGATAGCACTTAGTATACTGCCTGGTTGGTACTTAATAGATGTGTTTGTTTATGGTCTTTTGTCCAGGTACCTTCCTTTCCCTTTGTCTTTAGACTTCTGAAACCCTTTATATCTTTATGAAGCCCAGCTCAAAAGCCCCTATCTTCATAAAGTATTCCATCATTCTCCAAGTTAGAAGTAACGTCTTCCCTCTAGGGTCAATAATTTCAGGGGTAATGATCTTATAAAGATTTCTTTCATTTGGGTTCATACTATAGTTATTTATGAATATTTCTATTTACTAGGTTGTAAATCACTTAAATGCAGAGAATATATTTTCATATTGCACAATATTTGATGAACTAAAAACAAGTACAGTTGTCCAGTTATGTGGATTCGTATATAAAATGTTAAAGATGACAGCAACATTTACTGATTGATCATTTATCTTGTGCCAACTATTTTCTTAGTACTTTCCATGTATTTTCTAATTTTATTTCAGAATATTACATGCAAGATACTATTAATCTAATTTCACAGAAGAGGAAACTGAGGCACAGAAAGGTTAAATAACTTTCCCAAAGTCTTACAGCTAATACTTAATGGTGATAGGAGGCAAACCTGGCAACTTGGCTCCAGCACTCTCAATCAGAACATTACCCCAAGACAGAAGGTAATAAATGACACATATCCCACCCTCTACCCTTAGATGTTTAAAAGCATAACCTTGCTAAATAAGGATCTAAAAACAAAACAAAAACAAAAAAAAGCCAACAAAAATCAGAAATGTTTTCTCCCCTAAAACAACTTCATGACAAAGGAAGGTAAGTTCCTTGAAAATTTTACTGGGGAAAAAAAGCCCAGAAGATGATTTTTAATTTTAGTTCCCCTTTCAAGTGGTAGAACACTATTAGTGACACAGAAAATGTAAAGTACACTGAAATACTATTTACATTTGTCCTCTAAAAGCAGAAACTGCAGCTGAGATGGCTAGCAAAGTTATAAGCAGTTCTGCCTTAAACAATTTGTCCTATAATCACTGAATTTTCTTCTTAAAGTGTGCCCACTAAGTTTAAATTGTATGTCCATTTAAGTCCTTTAACAAGCATTTGATTAAATGGAAATGGTAAATCACTATGAACAACATACAGTATCTGCAAATACAGCTCCCTGGAGGGCACAGAACAGTGAGAAACATGGCTGAATTTAAATATCCTTCCTTAAGTAAATATAAAGAATAAAAATTTGAGGTAACTAGGCTTCACACAAAAAAACTCACAATCTATACTATATCTGTTAATTCCTTAATATTCTCTCCATAAGAGCCTCTTGTCTTATTTGGACAAAGGCATTCTCTTTATGAACACAAATGTCTTGTTTTCTCATTGCCAGAAAAGAGAGTGTTAATTTGCACTCATACAAAGATGATTTCATGTCACTGAAAATAAAAGACCATACCTGCCTTAAGCTCTTTTTCATACCAAGATTATAAACATAAAAGAATGGGCTTTTGCTCCATTTTTTTTTTCTGTCTTCAGGGTGGGCTGTTACTATTTGTACTGCAATTGCATCCTGAAAACTAAAATAGCTTCTCTCCTCATGTAGGAGGTCATGGACTCTGTGTATAGTCAAATCTGATTTTCACTCAGGATCCTACAGCCACAGAACAATTTCAAATAAATTTGCCCTTCTTTTGATGCATGATCTATAGTTGCCTTATGAACATCCTCTCCCTTGCCCTTGAGAAGAAATACAGATATAAGATATAGGGATTCTTAAATTTTTCTTTGTTCAACGCCTTGTTAAGTGATACTATTCAATTGTCCAATTTCATCACTCGTGCTGACATTTTGTTACTTCATCCTATTGGGCCACTGTTGATTTCCTGACACGCAGAATCATTCTTTTATTTAAAGCACTTTCTAGTACATCTTTTAAAATTCAAATTTCTTTTGTTTTTGGAGCTCAGAGAAATTCATTTCACTTATCTGGGTTTTTTTTTTGTTTTGTTTTTGTTTGTTTGTTTGTTTTTGAGATGGAGTCTCGCTCTGTCGCTCAGGCTGGACTGCAGTGGTGCAGTCTCGGCTCACTGCAACCTCCGCTTCCCGGGTTCAAGTGATCCTCCTGCTTCAGCCTCCTGAGTAGCTGGGATTACATGTGCGTGCCACCAAACCCAGCTAATTTTTGTATTTGGAGACGGGGTTTCATCATGTTGGTCAGGCTGGTCTCGAACTCCTGACCTCGTGACCCACCCGCCTCAGCCTCCTAAAGTGTTGGGATTACAAGCGTGAGCCACCGCACCCAGCCACTTATCTGGGTTTGATTCATCATAAGAATCCCCTTATTTGACCGGAGTGTTTCTTTACTTTATCCTAGACATAAATCTACGCTGCATTTTGAAACCAAGTGAGAGTCCATACAAAGACATTCAAACATAGGTTCCAATATCATCTTCAAAGGTTTTTAAATGCCATTTGTAAGCCTAATAGTTTCTTTTTGTCCCTGACTTTTCTTTCAGTATGTGGTCTTTCAGAGTTGACTTGGTAAAAATATATATAAATATGTCTAAGAAAGAATGAACACAAAACTACAATCTATCAATAAAAGGTCTTGGTCTTTAAACTAAAATGTTAGTTAGCCTTCCCTGCATTCTATAAAAAATCCAAGGGGGTTGAGTGAATTAGCTGTCTGAATTGTGTTTGCAATACACACACACACACACACACACACACACACACACAAACACTTAAAAACCTGTTTCATTATCACATATTTATTGAGCACTATAGGTCAGTGACTTAGTTAAGAATTTTATATGGATTACTTCACTTAATCTGCATGGCAACCCAATGAGGAAGGTACTATTTTTATCATCAATTTACAAAGAGTAAACATAGTCTTAGACTTAATAACTTGTCCAAATTCATACACACAGCTAAGAAAGAGCAAAGCCAGGAATCAACTTGTGAAAACTGAGAAATATACCAATGCTGATCTGTATCATATTGACCCAGTAAGCTTATCACATGTCTGGGCTTCATCCTGAATTTATTAAAGCAAAATGGAAGAAAGAAGAAAGGTGTCTTGGGTGGTCACTGACTATGTACAAGAGAGCCTCAGTTCTCATACATTATAAATATACATTACATTTCAAATGTCATAAACCTAGGCTCCTAAAAGCCTTGTTACATGGAAAATTTGGTCTTTTATATATCTCCCTATAAGTATTATTTCAAGTAATATCAACAGAGGAAAAGGCTTGGCCACAGAACCAAAGTGGTAAAGAGTGTTCCAAAGTCAACATACATGGCATTGACAGGCCAAATTCCCACTCTCCTTCCAATCTTCCACCCCCCATACACAAAATCCCAATTTGAGATCTGGGGAATTGGGATTTCTTCATCACAAAGGAACACTTTCAAAATCAGTTAATCCCAAATCTCTTCTTTCTTCTCCACTAGTATCCTTCCTTACAAAATCTTAAAATCGTTCATTAGAATGAACAGAACAGTGGATTTCTAAAGGGCCTAGAAAAGTATGGCTACTCATTTGACAACTGTCTAATGCAAAAACTGCTCAGGGTAAGAAATATGGGATTTCAGAACCACAAACAAGGATCCTCATACAATTAGTTATAAATAAACCCAGGCTGGTATTAAACTCCTGACCTCAGGTGATCCACCCGCCTCAGCCTCCCAAAGTGATGGGACTACTGGCGTGAGCCACCGCGCCGTTGAAAGCTCATCTCTACTAAAAATACAAAAATTAGCCAGGCATGGTGGTCCCCTGTAATTCCAGCTACTCAGGAGGCTGAGGCATGAGAATTGCTTGAACCCAGGAGGCAGGGGTTGCAGTGAGCTGAGATTATGCCACTGCACTCCAACCTGGGTGACACAGTGAGACTCAGTCTCAAAAAACAAACAAACAAACAAACAAACAAACAAACAAACCCAGCTGTGGCTGCTGTAAGTTGTAGAAGTTAGGGGAGGTAGGTGGGAGCAACCTCTCCCCACAACTTAACAGCAAAACACACAACAGGAAAAACCAAGATTTTGAATTCAGTACTAAGAAGGTTAATACTTAGCAGCAGCTTTCCTCTGCAAATGGTTATTTCTGAACTTTGGTTACAGCCTTAAAAAATTACATAAACTGGATTTTGGAGAAATCACTTTCTTAATGAGAAAATCTTCACGGAAGCTATCTCTGATTAGCTCCTTCATATCTAAAGTATTGACCTTCACTGGTAACCCTGAATTCGTTAAGCCAATGTGGCCCCTTAGAAGAATAATATTTCTTTTTTCTTTTTTTTTTGAGATGGAGTCTCGCACCGTCACCTAGCCTAGAGTGCAATGGCACAATCGCAGCTCACTGCAACCTTCGCCTCCCAGGTTCATGTGATTCTCCTGTCTCAGCCTCTCAAGTAGCTGGGATTACAGGCGCCTGCCAACACACCTGGCTAATTTTTGTGTTTTCAGTAGAGACAGGATTTCACTATGTTGGTGCCAGGCTGGTCTTGAACTCCTGACATTCAGTGATCCATCTGCCTCAACCTCCCAAAGTGCTGGGATTACAGGTGTGAGCCACCATGCTCGGCAAGAGAAGAATAATATTTCCACATTCATTCTACTTCCTGGTTGTAGGTTCCTTAAATAAGCAAATAACACCTATTTTCAAAACTCGTAAGATACCTCAAAAACCAGTTCAGACGGATACAGAGGTAACTTTACTTGGTTGCCCATTTAAAAAATAATACAGTACTCATAACCAGCAGATACTGAATAAAATGGCAAGGAAACCAAGTATTTAGAGTGGCAGTTTTAAAGGCTGTACGGAGGGGAACGATCAGACTTAGCCAGCTGTCCTAAGCCAGACAGAGACCTCCATATATTTATGTAGGATCGCTGCAATCTGTAGACAAAAGGCATTTTTTCATTTGTCCACATGGCTGGTTCCAGCAGCTTCCATTTCTGGTGTGCTTCATTATTAAGAAGACTTTTGTTAACCAGTCTTTTATATTCCAATTAACTAACTGCATCAAATTCTCATTTAAATATACTTCAGGATTCAGATAACAGGAAAAGAACCATTAAGAAGGCACACTTAGCATACAAAGTCAAAGTGATCCTTATTCAGGGAGAAAAGGCTGTGAAGAACATACACAAGGGAAGAAGGATTTAGATACAAAACAACACATACATTCATCATTCCTTTCTCAATGCTTTCCAAAGTCTTCTCGCCAACTGGCCCTAAACAACTTGATTATCCTTGTCACACTGCACTCAAATATTCTCTCTAAACACTTTCAACTTGCAGCACATGTTAACAGTTAATATCTCTGGATGATCTTCTGAGTAAAGCTTGAGAAAAATGTGCTTACAATGACAAGTATGAGGGGAAAAAAATGACTGGATTGCTGATTAATACTGAGAAGAGCTCCTCTGAGCATAGAACCGTGCATATTTAAGAGAGCTATTCGCAAATTTCCTCCAGACTACTCTGGTAAAGCTGATTCTAGAATTCAGTACTATTTGGGGAATACCATGTTAACAGAAAAAGCAATACATTCAAGGCATGGAAACCTGGATCTGAATTTTGGTTCTGCTTAATCCTTTTAGACATTCAATTTCTCCAAATATAAAGCAGATACTCTTAGGTAGAATCTGTATGAAGATTCAAGGAAAACACAGTAGAGCATTGTTAGGGACCAGAACACACTACCTCCAAATAGTCACCTTGGTATTTGAAAAAACAGCAGAAGCAGGAAGACCTTCTCCCACACTTCTCCTCTGAAGCAGGTCATAAAAGAATTCTCTGCCCTTCCACTGAAGCAGGTCATAAGACTCTCATTCCAGAGTTGCCTATCCTTACCTGAGGAAAGGAATGCCCTTATCTCTGGAGACAGAGACACAGAGAAGAAGCTCAACAAACAGGTCTTGCTAAGTTGCCCCCAGTTTATTACCATTAGATCATACCCCTTTGTCCTCCAATCATACTTCTCCATGAGACTATTCATTTCTTCATCAAACCTAAGCATAAACATATACAAGTTTACCCATTCTTTGGGTCTTCATTTCTGAAGCCTTCTGTGTCACGTAAAACTTCTATGTCATGTAAAACTTACAGAGGTCTCCGTCATGAATCAAGCCAACAGGTGAGAAAAATCTTTTCTCCCTTACAGCATGTAACCAAAGAGTAACTGGCACACTATAGGCACTAAACAAATGAATGGTAGTTGCTTTTACTAAAATACTATATAACCTTAATTTCTTTACAGTTAAAGGGTAGTTATCTCAAGCAATGATAGTACTATTAGTATCATATTAGTACTGTCAGTATCACAGTGTACTAGTAGTAATAATACTAGTGTATTATTCTAGTCAGTATATTTATGATCTTATGAAATTGATAAAAGTAGGCTCTCTGGGTTAGGCAGACTTAAATTTTATTCTCACTCAATCTTTAACTCCTCTTTCCTAGAAAACTAAGTAGCTCTTACTCTGGTAGCTGCTGGTGTTTGTATTTTTTTGCTCTCCAAGTTGAAGCAAGGAATGTACCTGGGGCAACACTAATGAAGCATAACAAACAATTCAAGATGAATGTGAACATCAGTTGGTAGACTGCATTCTATAGGTTCATCAATAGCTGTGAGAAACCAGAAACCAAGGAGATAAAATGGTTAAAAGAGGGAAAGAGAAGCAGTGATTGGGCTAAAAAATGATGAGAACTTAGTTAAGCAGAAATAAGAGGATAAGGCAATATGAAGAACAACATGAATACGAGTTTAGAAGCCGGAATGGGAATAGTATGGGACAATGAAGAAACTTTCTTAATGAAGTAGGTGAACTGTGTTAGAAAACAGAAATAAAGTTAGATGGATAGCATTATATTAGATTATTGAAAATCTTGAATGTAATAGTTTAGATACGATAGTCTAAGTGCAAACACATGAGATCAGGAAATAGAGCAGTTAAGAAGTAGATATAGGAACGACATTGTTCTATACTTATTATAAAGGCTAATTTTCTAAATACTAGTAAATTTTGAAATCTGAGTTACCTTTGAGTATTTTTTTCTATTGTACTTTTTCCTATAATTTTCTTAAGGATCATATTTAATAGTAAGGGTAAATATAATTTTAAAATTAGATACAGATATCTGAAGTGAAATAGATTAAATAACTAACAAGTTCAGGTAATATATTTATCAAAATTTCCCCTTATTTTTAGTGTTGGCCAAAATATACCAGATAGAGGTACATGCAAATGCTGAATTTGAAAAAAACTTTTCTGAAAGACCTGGGTCAACTAAAGGTAACAAGCAATGTTTGATTGATTATCTCTGTATAAAGATGAATATTTGGTAGTGCATAAAGGCCGACTGAAAGGGACATAAAGCTGTTAGAAGTAAATCGAGAGAAGGGGAAGGGGAAGGAACAGAAATGAGGAGATGAAAAGCAGAAACGAAAACAAAGATATATAGAAGACATTTCAAAGAAAGCATTACTGCTATTTGATGAATAATTAGATGGAAAATAAAGAGATGCAACAATAATGATTCTGGGGTTTTAGACTTAAATGACTTAGAAAGACTGATAAAGCCAGAAGGAAATAAGGATGTTAATATGTCAAAGTTGGAAGGGTATTTTGTAGTAACTTTTTTTTTGTTGTACAGAACATATTCTCCAAAAACTCACTGCCTGATTTAAATTAACCTCATTTGTTATATTTTGAGTCTTACAGTAAGTTCTTATTTTGGTCATTTGGGTCCTTGAAAACTTAATCAGATAAAATTTATTCATTTAGCAAATTCTTATTAAGCAAATATACAAACAGAAAAGAGCTCAAAAACTGATATTTTATAGCATTTTATTATATATAAATCCCAAAGGGAGTTTGTTGAAAATGGAGGTTCCAGGGCCTCCAGGTTGGTGAAAACATTGAGGTACTAGGAGGGTACCCATCTGGGAAGAAAATGCCAAAGTGTTTCCAAGAGTCACCAGCACAGACCTATTCTGTGTACTCCACCCGCCACTCTCCAATACCTTGCCCTATGCATCTCTTCCCATGAGCTATTTCTGAGTTGTATCCATTGTAATAAATCAGTCAATGTTTAATGGAATTTGGCTGTAAACATCAGAACACAGTACCTTTCAGGAGGCAGATCTTTGACTCCAGCTGTAATGTTCCAATTAATAATGAGCACTACCAGAATGTTCTAGCCTTTGCTTTTGCTACTGAGGAGACTGATGAGAACCCTGGCTTATTATCTAATGTCTCCCTTGGATTTAGTCTCTACATCTTCCAAAGTGACCAACAGACCATAGAGAGCCTCCTGATGTGGCACTCAGGAGGGTTTGAGACAGTACCTAATCACTCCTGTAAAGAAAGAATAGGTTTGCGGCAGCGACTGTTGGAAACACTTTGGCACTTCTAAATTTCCACCGGTGGCTCCAAGATTGGATGTGACAGAGATGGGATCTTTGCTTCTCCCATGCAATTCTAGGATACTTAACAAAACAAAAGGAGAGAATTATGTAACCCATAACAACAACAACAACAACAACAAATACAAAAGGTGGTTCTTGGTCCTCACCTTCAGAAAGTCTAAATATAACAAGTATAGGGTTTAGATATTTAAAATTTTAATTCCTATCCCAAGTAACTAATAATTCTAAAGCAGGTGATCAACAGACCATACTTTGAAAAATACTAATACACATGTTGAAACTATCTACAAATATTGAACTCAGAGGGAAAACCAAGACGTATTTTTCTGCTTTTGGTCAGGTGGCTAGTGAGAGGGAAGTGAGGAGGAAAGAATTTACCGAATACCTACTTAACACATACCATCTGAGGCCCAGAGAGCAGCAATATACAAAATACAAGAATTTTTTTTTTTTTTTTTTTTTTGAGACAGAGTCTGGCTGTGTTGCCAGAATGGAGTGCAGTGGTGTGATCTCGGCTCACTGCAACTGCCACCTCCCGGGTTCAAGCGATTCTCCTGCCTCAGCTTCCCGAGTAGCTGGGATTACAGGCGCCCACGGCCATGCCCGGCTAATTTTTGTATTTTTTAGTAGAGACGGGGTTTCACCATGTTGGCCAGGCTGGTCTCAAATCCCTGACCTCAGGTGATCTGCCCGCCTCGACCTCCCAAAATGCTGAAACTACAGGTGTAAGCCACTGCTCCCAGCCAAAAATGACAAGAATTTCTAGCCTCAGGAAGCTTTTTAGCTCATTGAGAATAACTGCACATAAGCCTTATTTATTTAATTTTTTGAGACGGAGTTTCGCTCTTGTTGCCCAGGCTGGAGTGCAATGGCACGATCTTGGCTCACCACAACCTCCGCCTCCCAGATTCAAGCAATTCTTTTGCCTCAGCCTCCCGAGTAGCTGAGATTACAGGCATGCGCCACCACACCCGGGTAATTTTGTATT
Source organism: Homo sapiens (assembly GCF_000001405.40). Lineage (NCBI taxonomy): Eukaryota > Metazoa > Chordata > Mammalia > Primates > Hominidae > Homo > Homo sapiens. The sequence continues at coordinate 175,973,009 of NC_000001.11, forward strand.
TTCAGTAGAGATGGGGTTTCTCCATGTTGGTCAGGCTGGTCTCAAACTCCCAAACTCAGGGGATCTGCCCGCCTCAGCCTTCCAAAGTGCTGAGATTACAGGCGTGAACCACCCCATCTGGCCAAGCCTTATTTTTTTAACACTTTTACAAGTCTAATTTTTAGTGAAATGTATTTGGTTAAAAGATACTATAATCAGTACTGGAGTCTGAATTACACAAATGTCTCATGACAGTTTAGTAAAAGAGTTAACTTTGCAAATGGAAATACATTGAGAATTTAAAATAAAAGAAGATGAAATGGGAAACTCAGGACTGGGTTGCTACCTAAACTTCTATAGTTTGCATGTACTAATCTTTTCTTTCATCTTTCCATTCTCGTATTTTTAAACCAGCCCATGAAAATAAAATACATGAAGTCAGCATAACACAGTAAAAATTAATTCAGAAAATGTTGAATTTTACTGCATGCAGAGCTACAAGTTGCTAAATGTTACACATTTTAAAGTATATTACTGTTTACAAAGTGGTGGAAAGAAGAAATTAGGGCTGTTCTTATGAGATAACTTTGTAAGACTTAAGAGTTTTTGAAAAATATAATGGTTGCCTTGTAAAGCAGGAGCTCCCTACCACTGGAAATGTTCAAATAACTTTGAAAAACACCCCCATTAGAGATGTGATATACATAATTTCTACAATGGAAAAAAGTAAGTCTAGATCAATCTAATGGTATTTATCTACCCAATGAACACTCTAATATTTTTGTGGCTACAAAACTCAGCATTGTGCAAAGTTCCAGTATAATGGCATTATCATATGTAACAAACAGAAGTGCAGGAAAGGGTATTTGGGAACAGTGAGCAGCAAGATCTACAGCACAAAGATGAAAACAAGCAAACAAAAAACCCAGCATTCGGTGTTTGAGGATCCTACAGGCAGTTCATGTTGCTGGAGTGTAAAATGTGCTTATGCAAGTGGTAAGAGATTGAGCTGGAGAGGGAGGTGGGGGCCTGATAAAGAAGGTTGTTAGATGTCACATAAAGTTTAGATCTTATTCTGTAACCATTGGGGAAACACTAACAGATTTTAAACAGTGAGATAAACAAGTCTAGAACTATTAAGAAGTAATGGCAGGACATAAACTAAACTAAATGGCAGGAGCTTGAACTAAAGGCAGGTGGTAGAGTCACAGGGTTGGAAATAAGGATGGATTCAATATATATTAAAGGAAAAACAAGATTAAGTTTGTGCTTAGACACATACCACTGGTTAGATACATACATACTGGTTTTGCATTTGTAAGATCCAAAGTCTTTAAATTTATGAAATGCCAAAGGATAGGACTGTGCTTAAAATTTTAGAAATTTAATCCAATATTTTTCATGTGATAGTAAGTCAATGCAATAGACTACATTGTTTGAATTTCTATAGCAACTCCAAAAATTACAGGCATTCAGGGAAAAACAGAATCTGAGGAGACAAAGCAATCATTAAACCAGACTCAGGTACGACACTCAGTTCAAATGTTAAAACTGTATGAAATAAAATAACAATGATTAATATGGTTAAAGGGGTTGATGGAAAAGATATAAAACGTTTAAGATCGAATAGGTAATTTCAGTGAAGAGATTATGAGAAAGAATCAAAGAGAAATCCTAGAAATATACAAACATAGTAACAGAAATAAAAAACGCTTTTGATGCTATGATCAGCAGTCTTCAAACAGTTAAGGAAAGAATACGTGGGCCAGGCATGGTGGCTCAGGCCTGTAATCTCAGCACTTTGGAAGGCTGAGGCAGGTGGATCACCTGAGGTCAGGAGTTTGAGACCAGTCTGACCAATATGGGTGGTCAAGGCTGCAATGAGCCATGGCTGCACTGCACTACAGCCTAGGTGACAGACCAAGACCCTGTCTCAAAAAAAAAAAAAAAAAAAACCCACAAAGAAAACCCCCCAAAATTGCATAATTCAAATGCAATTCATGCAAAGAACCAAAATCTCATGCTCATTTTTAAAAAATATTGACAGCTGTCAGTAAGAAACATGGCACCTAAAGGGCAGGTAGGAAATCTCTTCCTAAGGATTTATTCACACCTATTCAGAGCCAACAGTTTCATTCTTAGTAACTCTGGTTGATGCAAATCTCTGTATCTAAAATACATAGGATATATAAAAGCTTCTAAGTTACCTATGCTTTTGATAGATTTCATTTGATAGGATAAATATACCTTTAAACAATTTACTAATATTATCCCCCACCCCAAAACCTTCCCCACTCCCACCACCATTAGTTACATTAGATGTGTGAGTTTGGAGTTAATATGGCATTTAAACAAAGACTAACAAAAAACCAAAAGCCAGAACCCACAACCATCCCGAAGTTATTACTCTTGAAAAATGATCCTTTTCTCTTTTTTTTGAGACAGGGTTTCACACTTTGTCACCCAGGCTGGAGTGCAGTGCCACGATCTCGGCTCACTGCAATCTCTGCCTCCTGGGTTCAAGCGATTCTCATGTCTCAGCCATCTCAGTAGCTGGGATTATAAGCATGCGCCAATATGCCAGGCTACTTTTTGTATTTTTAGTAGAGACAGGGTGTTGCATGTTGGTTAGGCTGGTCTTGAAATCCTAGCCTCAAGTGATCCACCCACCTCGACCTCCCAAAGTGCTGGGATTACAGGTGTGAGTCACTGCACCTGGCCAACCCTTTTCTCTATATTCCTAAAATAATGATTTGGAAGGACAAAATGAAAAGGAAACACAAGTATGTAAAAACATGAATTTAATGCATAAAGGACAATCATGTACTGGATAAAATAAATGGTTTTCTCTATTCTAAGATGATTAGGAACCTGTTTTAACACAGTAGATACTCTGATGGAGAATGTAAAGTCTACATGATAATTGGGCTTTCCCTACCAGTAAGAACAGTGAGATCTCCATAAGGGATCTTAGAATTTGTTTTGCTATCAATGACATTTCATGCTTTCTATTAGTAAAGGGAAAATCAGTTGTCAGATCTCAAAAATCCAGTAATATGTAAAAGATGTAGAATTAGAAGGTCTCAAAGGTCTCAATCCTTTACAAAACAAAAAACTTTGAGAAAATAAGAATATTGGTAATAAACAGGGACTCTTATTGAACTCTGAAGTTGCAAGGCTAATTTGTTAATTGGGAAAGGTATAACTATTTTATTCTGTTCAGAATATAAAACTATTTTTAAATGCAAATACCCATATAAGTCTCTATATCAATTAGTCATTCTTTTTTTTTTTTTTTTTTTTTTTTTTAGACAGAGTCTTGCTCTGTTGCCCAGGCTGGAATGTGGTGGTGCAATCTCTGCTCACTGCAACCTACACCTCCCGGGTTCAAGTGATTCTCCTGCCTCAGCCTCTTAAGCAGCTGGGATTACAGGTGTGCAACACCATGCCTGCCTAATTATTGTATTTTTAGTGTAGACGGGGTTTCAACATGTTGGGCAGGCTGGTCTCAAACTCCTGGCCTCAAGTGATCCTCCCACCTCAGTTTCCCAAAGTGCTGGAATTACAGGCTTGAGCCACTGTGCCCGGCCTCATTTATTCCTTCTTATTAGTTGCTATTTTGGTTCAGTTTGCACCACTATAGTCCTCTACTAGTACAAACATTAAGGATGATCATGGGAATACAGATTTGGCTGGTTAGCAAAAATATGATAAAGGCATATCAGTATTAGTTGTGAAACTTAAATTATTCTTGGCTGCTACAAAAAAGAATTACATACATTCAGTTACATATTCTGAATCTGACAAAAATATTTAGATAGCTCGTAATGAAATAAGACATTGAACTTCTTATTTATCAGGTTCCATGAGGACTTTTTTTGAAAGTTGTAACAAGTCTTCTTAGCAATTAAAAGAAAAAATGATAAACTCTTGTATCTCCTAAAACAAACATTTGGAATGTTGTGAGAAATAAAAAACACTTAAAGCAAAATCAACTATTAGTATTTTTTTCTCCCAATCTCTGGAAATCATTTCACAAAGATATGTTTGGTGAGTCATGGCATTACTGCTTCAGATATTTAGGATTTAAAACAATAAATTATCAAAAAGGAACTGAATCTTGAAGTCGGATTTACTTTCTACACAATCTATTCCCTAAAGCTTTCTACTTTTATCAGAGAGCAAAAGATCCTGAAGATAAATAAAAGTATGACCAACTGCTTATTTAATTCTCTACAATGTGTAAAGACTTTATCATTTAAACCAAAGATTTAGATTCATTTTCTGCCCTCATATTCATCTTTCAGTTGGCAATCACAATTCAAATAAAGAATATATATTTTCATCCCACTAATCTGCATATCTAGTTAAAAAAAGACTAATGCAAACAGGCACAAAATTAAATGGCTTCTTTACAGCAATTATAACAGATTGACTTTTCTTCAATCTACATAATCAAATTATTCCAGTGTTCAGCAGTAATAACCTTTTTATTTTCCTGGAAATAGCTGATGTCAACCCTGATAGCTTTATTTGGGAAACTGGTGAATAAAATAGAATTTAAGAAATAATGGAATAAGAGATAAAAAAGGTACAAATCATATAAAGATCACATCAATATAGGAGAGTGTCATGAGAACAACAGTGGTTATATGTGAGACTGTACAAGTAAAATACAAAAAAAAGTTTCTTTTCCCCAGACAATCTGTATATTCTTAAATTAGTAAAAAAACCTTTTTTCTTAAGCAACTGCCATCCATTTTCTAAGCAAAACATACTTATTTTTGCTTAGTTAATTCTGCTTTCAGTATTTATTAAATCCATTTTATTCAATTTAGAAAATAATAATGTTTTTCCATTACATACACTTCAGCATATTACACCAATTCAAATAGTATCCATCAAAAGCTTTTAAGTAAAGGAAATAATATCCAATATTCACTTTCCTTCTTTCTACTATTACTATGAAAATTTGGTAGGGATTACCAAAAGATAAACATTAGAAACCAAACTCAAATCCCTTCCCATCTCAAAATATTTTGGATACTTTTTAGCATGGTGAGATTACAATAAAAGTTACTGTTAGGATAATGGCATAATTCATAATACACTCTCAAATTAATATTATTTCTTTTCTTCCCTTAAAAAAGGCAGGACTAAAACCAAAAACAGCAAGTAGCTTAAAAATTGGCATCAATTCTATGCTTCAAGATTGGCATACACAGAACACTCTTTTTAAAAAAGGATTTAATGAGGAAGAAAAGTTAAGAATCATTCTAATGTAGGTCAAACTCTATTACAGAAATATAAAAATGATAATAATGAAAAATTTAAAATGTCAACTAGCAGACCTCATAAATCATATTTTGTTGATTTTATTATAATATTCACCATAAAGTATCTAATGCAACAGATGTTTTCCCAGAGGCTGTCCACACAGTAGTGGACATTAAGGTTAAAGAAAATGTATACTTCCTGTAATTTACTTAGAGAAAAACAAATTACTAGGGTTGCCTCAGTTTTCTACCACCTTCTTATTTCCTTCCTTTTCTACTTCCCCACCCCACTCTATTCTGGATACTGAGGGAAGAGTGAGGCACTGAGGAGGAGATGGGAGTCTTTCTGGAAGTCAGGGTCCATGCTCAGAATCTGCTTTCATTCTACTCCCAAGACAGACAAAAGCTCATTCAGATTGGCCCTCTTCCAGTCAGGGAAATTTTCTAAAGTGTTATAAACAATCCAGTCAGAGGAAAGAAGAAAAGAAAGGAAAGATAAAAGGAAGAAGAGAAACAGAGTTGAAGGAAGACAGAAAGAAAGAGAAGAAGCTTCTATGTTGTCTTCTCCGCACTCATTGAGGAATTTAAAATAAGAAACACCTTTATAAGTGTGGAAAGTTAGTATATTTTTAGGAGTAGCATTTTTTAATTAACACAAATAAAAAAGACCGTATCTTACTTTTTTGGATTTGTTTCTTCCTGAGGTAGGTGAGGGATCAGCAAAATCTAACAGACATTAGGTATTCATAATTATAACTGTTTCTGCTAGCAGATGCTTAAGAACCATTTAGGTTTCTTGGTTAGGATGTATAACAAACTTCTTCCCAGTGGTAACATGATTCATTTGTTCCCAAACATGATTGTTCATATAATTTCCCAAGGAGACCTGGGGAACTTTTCAAAATACAGATCTATACCCTCCTCCTTCCTCCCCCAAAATATGTATTCATGGGTCTAAAAATAGAATTGTTTTGTTAATTGTTTTTGAAAGAGCCCCAGGGTTTTCTGATTATCAGTCAGTTTTGAGAACCACTGGTATAAATAAATTTTATTATAGACATCTTTTATACTTTAATGAAAGCAGACTGGAATACAGTATTGCATGGCTTCTCAAATGTGCTTTACTTTTCTAGTTTACTGAAATCTGATGTTTTACATACCCCAAGAAAATGTTACTAAGAAGCAAGGGATTCCTTAGATAAAACTCACATAAATTTGGAAAGTAGATATGCCTTTAAAAAAAAAAAAGACTGAGTTGTGAAATGTCATAACGTGATGGAGAAGGGAAGGGAGAACATAATATAAATGTAATAAAAATATTAAGCCAATAATAAACGCCTACTTTCTTGTAGCTGCACACATTTAAAAATTTTTGTTGCTTTTGAAAATAGACAAAATGGGCTGGAGATTATATCCCAAGGGGCAAAATGGTATTTTTGAAGTAATTATATGTACATATGAATGGTTCATGTCAGCAAAACTGCTTTTCTTAAATGGTAATTGATTATTACCATTTAGTTTCAAGTGAGCCTATTAGATATTAGAAGTATCTCCCAACTCCACTTCAGCATTTCTTTGATTCCAATTAATTACCATTTAATTATGCAACAGAAAAGATAAAGGCCAAGCTTGAAGTGTTGTATCGTTCATTACAAAAATTATATATTAATTATGCATTATGTACAAACACGCTGTGTAATGCTAGGGGTAATTAAAAATATAATACTAATAGCAAACATGTATCGCTTTTGCTGTGTATCAGGAACTGTTCCAAACACTTTATGTGCATCACCACATTTTAACATTATAACAACCCTAGAAGATAAGTGGCTATTATTATGGGCACTTTAGAGATGAGGACACTGAAGCACCGTGTGGTTAAGGAAATTCAGCAAGGTCACACAGCTGATCAGTGGGGAATCTGAGAGATTTCAACCTAGGTAGCCTGGCTCTGCTCTTACTCAAAATACTATGATGTCTTTTTTTGAGGAGTCTGGAGGTTACATGAACACAAATACAATACAAGACAGTATATTAATTCATTCAGCAAGTATTTTTAAAGGCCAAGAATCAGAAGAAACTTAGGTAAGCAAAACATCTGCTTAAGAACACAGTTTAGTTCAATGTTTCAGAATAGTATTTCATCATATAACAAAAAAGTTTTGTTAGAAATTAGAGAGAATAAAATTTAATGATGTAACTGAAAACAAAGGTGCACAGTTATAACTGCATAGAAAGTATTACAGCATAGTTGATAGGTTCCCAAGCCAAGTTTTGCTGCACTTGGTTTCAGAGAGGGGAAATTTGGAAATCTGTTATCCTGATCCCTGCCTCCCCTAACCCTAAAGCTACAGAAACTTTTAATATGATTCCTGATGTCTCAAGCCACAACAGAAAATGTCCACCCTAATGACCACTGCTTTTTTTTTTGCCTGAGGATAGAGTGTACTTTTTGGGGTCACTTCTGAAGAGCTAAAGGAGTAATAAGTGTCCTTTACAAGTACTGCCTTTTACTATTAGCTATCCACTTAGGATTGGTGAGTAGCTAAGTACGTATGTTACGGTTCAGAGCTGACAAAACAATAATAGGGTATCTGCAGCCTCAAAAGAAGTTACTATGGACTCAGGGTCTACCCCTAACAAAAATATTGTGTCCCTTTACACAGGCATCATCACATAGGAACAAATATATTCATTTGTATACTTAAAACACTTCATATTTCATTCCAATAGTTTCAGATAAGAGTCATATCACAGATCCACAGATACAGAATATATATACGTTCCCTTACCTAACTCCAGTCTCTAGATAAATCAATGTTAATAAAAAAGATAAGACTTTCATCTGGAATCTTTTTCTTTCTGCCCTAAGCATATCCTCTAAGGTTTTCTTTAGTGTAGGTTTGCTGATTGAAAATTTTTCAGGTTTATTTATTTTAAAATGTCTTTATTTTACCACTGTCTAGAGATTTTCACTGGATGTAGAATTCATGGTTTGCAAATGTTTTCCTTCCCACACTATCTGGTTTCACTGTCTGTTGGCTTCCACTATTTCATTGAGAAGTTGGCTGTCAGTCTAACTGACAATATTTTCTCTCTGCCTTCTTTCAAGAATCTCTCTGGGGAAGCCAGGGAGGAAGAAAAAAGAATCTCTCTGGGGGAAAAGATAGTCTCTTCAATAAATGGTGTTGGGAAAACTGGATATCCATATGCAGAAGAATGAAGTTGAGTATCTCACACCATATACAACACTCAACTCAAAATGATTAGAGGCTTAAACATAAGACTGAAAACTGTAAAACTACTAGAAAACATAAGGTAAAAGCTCCATAATGGTCTGAAAAATTTTTTGGCTAAAACTGCAAAAGCAAAAACAGACAAGCATGAATGCATCAAACTATCAATATAAAGCTTCCTCACAACAAAGGAAACAACAGAGTGAAAAGACAACATGTGGATTGGGAGAAAATATTTGCAAACTATTTATCAGTTAGGGGGTTATAAGGAACTCCAACACCTAAACAGCAAGAAAACAAATAACCCACTTAAAAAACAAGCAAAGAACCTGAATAAACATTTCTCAAAAAAAGACATACAAATAACAAACAGGTATATGAAAAAATGCTCAATATCATTAATCATCAGGGAAGTTTAAATTAAAACCACAATGAGGTATCGCCTCACAACTGCTAGAATTTCTATCATCAAAAAGACAAATGACATCTGTGAAGTGGGGTGTGTTAAAAAAAGATGAAAGATAACAAGCGTTGGCAAGAATGTGGAGAAAAGAGAACTCTTGTAACGTTGGTGGGAATGTAAATCAGTACAGCTTTTATGGAAAATAATATGGAGGTCCTCAAATACTAAATACAGAATGGCAATATGACCTAGCAATTACACTTCTGAGCATTGAATCCCACTTCAATTTCAAAAGAGTTAAAATTAGGTTACAGAAAAAAACATGCACACTCTTTTATTCATTGCATTATTCACAACAGCAAAGATATGAAATCAACCTAAGTGCCCATCAACAAATAAATGGATAAGAAAACATGGTATACAGCTGACCCTTGGAAAACACAGGTTTGAACTGTGAGGAACCACTTATATGCAAATTTTCTTCCTCTTCTACCACTCCAGAGAAAGACCAACCCCACTTCTTTCTCCTCCTTCTCAGCCTACTCCATGTGAAGATGAGGATGAAGACCTTTATGATTCACTTCATTTAATAAACAGTAAATATATTTTCTTTTATGATTTTCTTAATAATATTTTCTTTTGTCTAGCTTATGTGGGTTAATTGTTTATGTTATTGGTAAGATTTTCAGTCAACAGTAGGCTATTAGTAGTTAAGCTTTTGAGTCAGGGAATCAAATTATACCCGAATTTTCAACTGAGTGGAGGGTCAGTGCCTCTTGCCCCCACGTTGTCAAGGTTAAACTGTATATAATGGAATACCATTCAGCTTTACATGAACTTGGAGGACATTATGCTAAGTAAAATAAATCACACACAGAAAGAAATACTGCATGATCTCATTTATACGTGTAATCTTAAAAAATTGAACTCAGAGAAATAGAGAATAGAATGGTAGTTACCAGAGGTGGGGGATGGGAGTGGGAGGATGCCAAGATGTTGGTCCAAGGCTACAAAGTTTCAGCTAATTAGACAAAAAGAGTAAGTTTTTGAGATGTATTGCATAGCAGAGTGACTGTAGTTAATAATAATGTAGTGGATATTTCAATATTGTTAAGAGAATAAGATTTTAAATGTTCCCACTACAAAAAAAGCATGTGAGATGACCGATATGCTCATTAGTTTGATTTAATCATTCCATAATGTACATGTATATGAAAATACCACATTGTACCCCATAAATACTTACAATTATTATTTGTCGAAAAGAAAAGAAACTGATGGCTTAAAGGAATGAAAAAGACTCCTCTGATATGGTTTGGGTGTGTCCCCATCCAAATCTCAACTTGAATTCCCATATGTTGTGGAAGGGACCCAGTGGGAGGTAAATGACTCATGGGGGCAAGTCTTTCCCGAACTGTTCTCGTGACAGTGAATAAGTCTCATGATATCTGATGGTTTTAAAAAGGGGAGATTCCCTGTACAAGTTTTCTTCTCTTTTCTGCTGTCATGTGAGACATGCCTTTCACCTTCCGCCATGATTGTGAAGCCTCCCTAGCCATGTGGAACTGCGAGTCCAATAAACCTCTTTCTTTTGTAAATTACCCAGTCTTGAGTATATCTTTATCAGCAGTGTGAAAATGGACTAATACAGAAAATTGGTACCAGAAGTGGGGTGCTGCTGAAAAGATACCCCAAAATGTGGAACTGACTTTGGAACTGGTTAACAGGCAGAGGTTGGAACAGTTTAGAGGGTTCAGAAGACAGGAAAATGTGGGAAAATTTGGAACTCCCTAGAGACTTGTTCAATGGCTTTGACCAAAATGCTGATAATGATGGACATGAAATCTAAGGCTGAGGTGGTCTCAGATGGAGATGAGGAACTTGCTGGGAAATAGAGCAAAGAAGACTCTTGTTATGTTTTAGCAAAGAGACTGGCGGCATTTTGCCCCTGCCCTAGAGATCTGTGGAACTCTGTCCTTGAGAGAGATGAGTTAGGGTATCTGGTAGAATAAATTTCTAAGCAGCAAAGCATACAAGAGGTGACCTGAATGCTGTTAAAGGCATTCAGTTTAATAAGGGAAACAGAGCATCAAAGTTCAAAAAATTTGCAGCCTGACAATGCAATAGAAAAGAAAATCCCATTTTCTGGGAAGAAATTCAAGCTGGCTGCAGAAATTTGCATAAGTAACATGGAGCTGAATGTTAATCCCCAAGACCACGGGGAAAATGTCTCCAGGATATGTCAAGAGGTCTTCAGAGCAACCCCTCCCATCACAGGCCTGGAGACCCCAGAGGAAAAAGTTGTTTCCTGGGCCAGGTCCAGGGTTGGCATGCTGCGTGCAGCCTAGGGACTTGGTGTCCTGTGTCCCTGCCGCTCCAGCCATGACTAAAAGGGGCCAACAGAGAACTCGAGCCATGGCTTCAGAGGGTGCAAGCCCAAAGCCTTGGCAGCTTCCATGTGGTGTTGAGCCTGCGTGTGCACAGAAATAAAGAACTGAGGTTTGGAAACCTTTGCCTAGATTTCAGAGGATGTATGGAAACGCCTGGCTATCCAGGCAGAAGTTTGCTGCAAGGGTGGGCCCCTCATGGAGAACCTCTGCCACGGCAGTACAGAAGGGAAATGTGGGGTGGGAGCCCTCACACAGAGTCCCTACTGGGGCACCACCTATGGGGCTGTGAGAAGAGGGCCACCATCCGCCAGACCCCAAAATGGTAGATCCACTGACAGCTTGCACCGTTCACCTGGAAAAGCCACAGACAATGCCAGCTCGTTAAAGCAGCCAGGAGGGAAGCTGTACCCTGCAACGCCACAGTGGTGGAGGTCTCCAAGACTACGGGAACCCACCTCTTGCATCAGTGTGACCTGGGTGTGAGACATGGAGTCAAAGGAGATCATTTTGGAACTTTAAGATTTGACTGCCCTGTTGGATTTTGGACTTACATGGGGCCTGTAGTTTTGTTTTGGCCAATTTCTCCCATTTTGAATAGCTCTATTTACCCAATGCCTATATTCTCTTCATATCTAGGAATTAACTGATTTGCTGATGATTTTACAGACTCATAGGCAGAAGGGACTTGGCTTATCTCAGATGAAACGTTGGACTTTGGACTTCTGAGTTAATGCTTAAATGAGTTAAGACTTTGGGAGACTGCTGGGAAGGCATGATCAGTTTTGAAATGTGAGGACATGAAATTTGGGAGGGGCCAGAAGCAGAATGATATTTTCATTCTAAAAATAGTTTCCAGTTCTCAGTTAAAATTTTCAATCTTGTCTTTCATCTTGTAAGCATAGCTACTTTCAAGCTGTCTGATAATTTCAATATTTAGAGCTGCTGTGACTGTTTCTACAGTCTGTTGCTTAGGCTGGTTTAATTCATGCTGTCTTCTCTTTTACTATGTCTGTTTATTTTTTATTGTGCCCTAGTTATTGTAGTTACAAAACTAAAAAAAATAAAGCACTTAGATGATCTTATCTTTTTTCAGAGGATTTAAGTTTGCATCCTGTGGATATTAGCAATCAAGGGTCACCTCAATTCAATTTCAGAGATTGATATGAAGTTCAGATGCAATCGCTATGAAGACTTATCTTCTGGTTTCCCCTATAATATACCCCTGTGGGGACTTAAAACAAAGTAATCACCCATACAACGTCAGGCACTGAGCTCCAATCCCTGCAACCCTGTGAAGCTAGTATAAGCACTTTCACCCACCCCACCAGAACTGACAAATGCTCACAGGGGAAAAGTAGATTCAAAAGCCAGGGTCACAATCCAAATCTGGTAATTCTTTCCTGTCTTGTTTGCTTTCCAATGCTTTCAAATAGGTTCTTTTTTTAAAAATACATACATTTGGTCCTTTTTTTCTAATTTTACTTGGAGGAAGGGTTGGTCCAAATTACCTAGTCTGTCAATTAGCAAAACTGGAAATGGAGCCACAGAACTTTAAATAAGACAGCAATAGAATATATCAAATTAAAGTGAAACTATACCTGAAACTTGGATTTTTAAATTACATATCAAGTCAGAATTTTTTTTGTCAAAAACCCAACTAATCACCTAAAAAGCTATTTTAAAAATATGATACTAATAACTCATGTTTATATAAATCAAGATAGTAACAAGAATTATTATTTTCTGAGACAGAGTCTCACTCTGTCGCCCAGGCTGGACTGCAGTGGCGCGATCTTGGCTCACTGCAAGCTCTGCCTCGCGGGTTGATGCCATTCTCCTGACTCAGCCTCCCGAGTAGCTGGGACTACAGTCACCCGCCACCACGCCTGGCTAATTTTTTGTATTTTTAGTAGAGACAGGGTTTCACCGTGTTAGCCAGGATGGTCTTGATCTCCTGACCTCGTGATTTGCCCGCCTCGGCCTCCCAAAGTGCTGGGATTACAGGTGTGAGCCACCGAACCTAGCCTAAGAATTATTTTTTCATATAACTTATGAAAAACCTTATACTTTAAAACATAAGTGAAAAGTTTGAGGCAACTCCACTTTATAAAACCCAGTAGCATAACTGTCTCATCAATATACTAAATATGCTTAAATATTCATATATAAATGTATTTTGTAGACAGCAATTCTACTTTGAAATAGTACTTAATTAGAGGACCATATAGGCCACTATCCTTTACCTGTACCAATTCTTTTTCTCCCTCCCTATTAAAATACCAGCTCAGCTTAATGTTTATCAAGCTTATACTGCACATAATCAATAAAGAAAATGAGACAGAATGCATATTTTGGAGGAATTTCCAGTCTTATAGAAGAGATATGAACAGACAATATGATAATGGTTATAACTGAGATATGCACTAAATGCTATGGGTCACAGAGGGACATTATGACACCATGACATTGCTCTATTACTATGCATTTCAATCACTACCTAAAATGCCTATTGTCTTTGGTGACACATTACAAAGTTTTTTAAAAAGTACATACCACATACCAATTTATATTTTAAAATTTAATCAAACCCTGTGTATACATAATGCATAATATGAGATCCCAAGGTGAAAAAACTGATATGAAAACTTACCCCATCTGGTAGTGCCCTCCAGCACACAGCACTAACAAATTCATTTGTATCATCTTCTTTTCGGTCTTTGTCGAGAACACTTTTGACTGTATCAAACTTAAAAGTTAGCAAAGTCTTAGAAAGTCCTTTATAGTACAGGTAGAGAGAGTTATTTTCACTTCCTGAAAACAAATAATAATAATAGTATTTTAGAATAGAAAAACTCGGAATTAGGACATCACAGTCTAATAGTAATTATCAGCCAAAGTTATAGTTCAAAGATCTTTTATGGGCAAATTTGAAAGGCTAGATCACAGGACTAATTAGAAATCATGTAAGAAAAGGATTCTTGGACAAAAGCTATACTTTACTAATCTAAAGAAACAATCAGTGTTAAATGATACAACAATACTGATAATTCTAAGGCTAAAATTACCCTATAAAATCATTTATAGAGGTTGGTACAAAAGTAATTGTGGGTTTTGTCATTACTTTTAATTACTTTTGCACCAGCCTAATAAGTCTATAGTAGAACCAGAAATATATTATAAGAATCTTAAATTACATTTAGGAAGATTTCCATTTAGAGAGGTAAAAGAAAGTGGCAACACTTACACAGGCAGATTTTCATAGCCTACATAATTTATTTCCATTTCTCAGTATAGGAATTATTCTATTAATGGTCTATGAACTGTATTTTTATTTTTGAGCCATCTATTAAAGATAGAATAATTGTTCCAGATATTTGCTTTGGCAGTCTCATACATATGTGGAGAAAGTCAACTTTGCTGAACAAAGGCCAAGTCATTTAAAAGTATGATCAAAGCTCATCTATTCAGGCATTAGATGTATCAGAGCATTTGAATAATATCAAATTTGATTTTTCTATTTCTTATTTAAATTTGTATAAATTATCAACAATAAAAGCCATAGAATAACAGATCAATGCTATGCAAACAGATTACTTCATGAAGAGAACAGCAGATAGGGGAAAATGAATATCAAGCTTAAGAAGACACATAATGTCTCCAAAATTGGAAATATTACTAACAGAACTTAACCTTTTCTGTCTTCTACACAATATCTAAAGAATTATGTTATAATGGAGAACAACTATAAAACAGTTAAAAATCAGGTGTTCAGGTATTTGAGGTGTTCAGGGTTTCTACACAATAAAAAAGGGAAGGACTAATGCTCTTCTAGTACAACACAAGGAAAATCAGTAGTGCTGGGGCATCATGTCTATTATACTATCTTCTGAGTGCACAGACCATTTCTTGACTTAGTATTTATTCTATTTCCACTGAGTTCAATTTCAATAACAAACACCTGTTAAAAAGTTCCTGGAAACGATGGTTTCACTTACCACAAGCTATATAATCTCCATTGGAAGCCAGGCCTACAAAGTTTTTTTCATTGATATGACCCTTGAAGGAACGTAGGCAGTATGGTTTCCCTACATTCCACAGTTTTAGCTGACTGTCTGTTGAGCTGAGGAAAAGTACAAAGAGTAAGAACTTACTTAAAATTTCTTGGCACGAAACTCATCACTACTAATTAGAGGCAATGCAGTTTGCTGGTTAAGAATGCAGGCTCTGGAGCCAGACTGAGTTAGCACGTTCATCTGTCGGCCAGGCGTGGTGGCTCACGCTTGTATTCCAAGCAATTTGGTAGGCCGAGGCAGGTGGACCACCTGAGGTCTGGAGTTCGAGACCAGCCTGGCCAACATAGCAAAACACCGTCTCTACTAAAAATACAAAAATTAGTCGGGCGTGGTAGCACGTGCCTGTAGTCCCAGCTACTTGGGAGGCTGAGGCAGGAGAATCACTTGAACCTGGGGGGCAGATGCTGCAGTGAGCGGAGATCACACCACTGCACTCCAGCCTGGGTGACAGAGCGAGACTCTGTGCCAAAAAAAAAAAGTTTTCTTTTCAACATATTTAAAGTCACCATGAAATCACAGATAAATGACCATGTCAGTGTAAAAGCCAACCAAGTAATATTTAAAACCAAAAATAATTCTACTACTATACTGCAAGTAGATAAAATACACAGTAACACATGAGTTGACTTTAATAAATAAAATACTTCTCATTCTATTGCATCAACTATGTTGTTTATCTCTTCTTTAGAAGCAATAGCTAAAATCTAATCTGAAGTTCAAATGCAATTAAACATAGGAGGATGAGATAAGGGGGGAGGGTATATAAAAAACTAGTATCTTCAGGATTTTACCCACAATTCACATATAAAAGTGCACAATACAGACCAGAAACCACACTACTTTAATTGGACAAGATTAAAAAAAAAATCTACTATTTAAGAAAAAGTACATATACTCCAATATTATAGTTTACATACACCCTCAGTGACATTACAAGCTGGTAGGTAAGTACAGAGCTCTGTATTAAGCTCAACCTCTGAGGAGAGTAATACTCACGCAGAGACAATTTCCTCACCACTCACAAACTTTGCATAAGAGACTGCTTTACGGTGTCCTTTGAATACCATGATTGGCTGTTTAGTGTTACGAAGATCATAGTAGTGGACACAGTGATCTAAAACAAAACAAAATTAGATAAATGTAGTAAATGCAGAAATGGAAAGCAAAGTTAATTTTAACTGGTTTTTGGTTTTTTCATTAAAAGTTTCACATATGATGTCTAATCTCTAACAGCCAGAAAACAAAGGAAAAGGAATCCTTTTCAAATATAAGATTGGCTCTAGAAAGAGAGTATTAAGGGGTCAAAATAACTGGAAACTTAAAAATCAATCTTTGTTTTAATGATGTCATGAAAAAAATGTTAATATAAACATTATGGGACATCTGGATAAACATAATGCTATATAATCTTATTTCCCATATTTGTTTTAAAAAACCATTATTTAGATATATTTTGCATATAATAAAATACACACACTAAAAATATTGTATGCAATTCAACGATCTTTACTAAATTTAACCAGCAGTTCAACTATTACCATAAATCAGTTTTAGAGTATTTCTGCACTCCGATAAGATCACTCATTTGGCATCCACCATCACAGGCAGTCTCTATTCCTGTCTGTCTCTATCACTAATTTCTACTCTAACCTTTATTATTTCCTTCCTTCTGCTTGTCTTCAGTTAGCTTTGTTATTCTTTTTAAAGACAGACACTTAAGGATACACAATTCTCTATCAACACTGCTTTGGCTGATACCACAAATTGTGATATGATGTGTTTCCATTTTCATTCAGTTTAAAATCCTTTTACATTTCCTTTGTTATTTCTTCTTTGACTAATGGTTATTTAGTAATGTGTCATGTAATTTCCAAATACTTGCAGATGTCTCAAAGTAACTATTGTTGATTTTTAATTTAATTCCATTTTGGTCAGAAAACTGTTTTGTATGTCTTCAATCATTTTAAATTTATTGACAGAAAACTGTTTTGTATGTCTTCAAGCATTTTAAATTTATTGACTTATTTTTAGTCTTAAATATGGTGTCCCCTGGAGACTGTTACTAACACTTGCTTGAGAAGAATGTGCATGCTTCTACTGTTGGCTGAAGTGGTCTTTGGATGTCTGTTATGTCAGATTGACAATGTTATTCAAGTCTTCTAAAACTCTGCCAATTTTCTGTCCAGTTTTTCTATGAAATATCAAAAGTGGAGTATTTTTCAACAACTTCAGTCAAAATATCTGTTTTTCCCTTAAATATCACAGATTTTCTTTTCATATATCTACAAAAAGTTTGTTTTGAGGTGTGTTGATAATTGATGTATCTTTTCACTATTGATTCTTTTACCATTATAAAATGTCTTTGTTTCTAGTACTGATTTCTACTCTAAGTATATTCTGTTCGACCTAAATATAGCCATTCTACCATTTTTCTTGACTACTACTTACATGGTATATCTTTTTCCATCCTGTTACTTTAACCTATTTGTGTCTGTGAATCTAAAGTCTATCTCTTGTAGACAGCATAAAGCTGGATTCTAATTTTTTTTTTTTTGTAAACCCATTCTGCCAATCCCTGAATGTTACAACATTCAACATACTTACATTTAATATAATTATTAATAGGTTGCACATCTGAAATCAAAAAATCCCAAATCCTTGCTTTTGGAGTGCCAACATTTCAATCAAAGCTCCAAATGCTTCTTCATTGGAGCATTTCAGATTTTGGATTTGAGATGCTGAACAGTAAGTACAATAATACATACTTAACAATGGAGATACATTCTGAGAAATGTATCATTCAGCAATTTCATCACTGTGTGAGCATACAGTGTACTTTCACAAACCTAGATGGTATAGACTACTACACACTTAGGTTATGTGGAATAGCCTATTGTGCTCCTATGCTACAAACCTATGTATCATGTTACTGTACTGAATGCTGTAGGAAACTGTAACAATGGTAAATATTTACGTATCTAAATATAGAAAAGCTACAGTAAAAATAAGATATAAAAGGTAAAAAATGGTACACACCCATACAGGGGACTTATGATGAATGGAGTTTGCAGGACTGAAAATTGTTTTGGGTGAGTTAGTGAGTGGTAAATGAACATGAAGGCCTAAGACGTTAACAGTATACCTAGGCTACACTAAATTTACTGTAAAAAAGTGTTCTCCCTTCAGAAATAAATCAACCTTACCTTACAGTGATTTTCTGACTTTATAAACTTAAAAAATTTTTAAAGCTTTTTGACTCTTGTAATAACACTTAGCTTAAAACACATACATTGTACAGCTGGACAAAAGTATTTCCTTTTTACATTTCCTTATAAGTTAAAAAATTAAAATAGGAAAAAGCTTTTTAAACTTTTTTGTTAAAAACTAAGAAACAGAAAGTTAGCCTAGGTCTACACAGGGTCAGGATAATCAATATCACTGTTTTCACCTCCACGTTTTGTCTCACTGAAAAGTCTTCAAGGGTAATGATATGCATAGAGATGTCATCTTCTCTGATAACAGTACCTTTTTCTGGAATGTCTCCTGAAGGGCCTGCCTGAGGCTGTTGTATAGTAACTTAAAAAAACAAGTGTAAGAAGTACAGTCTATAATAATGGTAAAAAGTAAATAATAAACAAGTATATAGTTATTTATTATCTTTATCAAGTATTGTGTAGTATACGTAATCGTATGTGCTAGACTTTTTGAACATTTTTAATTTTTTTTGAGTATTATAGTTGGTATATACACTTATGTGGAATATGAGATGTTTTGATACAGGCATGCAATGCATAATAATCACATCATGGAGAATGGCGCACCTACCTCAAGCATTTATCCTTTGTGTTACAATCTAATTATACATTTTCAGTTATTTAAAAATGTACAATGGGAGGTGGAGGCAAGATGGCCAAATAGGAACAGCTCCAGTCTACAGCTCCCAGAGTGAGCGACGCAGAAGACGGGTGATTTTGCATTTCCATCTGAGGTACCAGGTTCATCTCACTAGGGAGTGCCAGACAGTGGGTGCAGGAGAGTGGGTGCAGCGCACCGTGCGCGAGCCAAAGCAGGGTGAGGCATTGCCTCACTCGGGAAGCGCAAGGGGTCAGGGAGTTCCCTTTCCTAGTCAAAGAAAGGAGTGACAGACGGCACCTGGAAAATTGGGTCACTCCCACCCTAATACTGCGCTTTACCGACAGGCTTAAAAAATGGCGGACCAGGAGATTATATCCCGCACCTGGCTCGGAGGGTCCTACGCCCACGGAGTCTCGCTGACTGCAAGCACAGCAGTCTGAGATCAAACTGCAAGGCGGCAGCGAGGCTGGGGGAGGGGCACCTGCCATTGCCCAGGCTTGCTTAGGTAAACAAAGCAGCTGGGAAGCTCGAACTGGATGGAGCCCACCACAGCTCAAGGAGGCCTGCCTGCCTCTGTAGGCTCCACCTCTGGGGGCAGGCACAGACAAAAAGACAGCAGTAACCTCTGCAGACTTAAATGTCCCTGTCTGACAGCTTTGAAGAGAGCAGTGGTTCTCCCAGCATGCAGCTGGAGATCTGAGAACGGGCAGACTGCCTCCTCAAGTGGGTCCCTGACCCCTGACCCCCAAGCAGCCTAACTAGGAGGCACCACCCAGTAGGGGCAAACTGACACCTCACACCGCCGGGTACTCCTCTGAGACAAAACTTCCAGAGGAACGATCAGAGAACAGGACTTGCGGTTCACGAAAAGCCGCTGTTCTGCAGCCACCGCTGCTGGGACCCAGGCAAACAGGGTCTGGAGTGGACCTCTAGCAAACTACAACAGACCTGCAGCTGAGGGTCCTGTCTGTTAGAAGGAAAACTAACAAACAGAAAGGACATCCACACCAAAAACCCATCTGTATATCACCACCATCAAAGACCAAAAGTAGATAAAACCACAAAGATGGGGAAAAAACAAAGCAGAAAAACTGGAAACTCTAAAAAGCAGAGTGCCTCTCCTCCTCCAAAGGAACGCAGCTCCTCACCAGCAACGGAACAAAGCTGGATGGAGAATGGCTTTGACGAGTTGAGAGAAGAAGGTTTCAGATGATCAAACTACTCTGAGCTACAGGAGGAAACTTAAACCAAAGGCAAAGAAGTTGAAAACTTTGAAAAAAATTTAGACGAATGTATAACTAGAATAACCAATACAGAGAAGTGCTTAAAGGAGCTGATGGAGCTGAAAGCCAAGGCTCGAGAACTACGTGAAGAATGCAGAACCCTCAGGAGCCGATGAGATGAACTGGAAGAAAGGGTATCAGTGATGGAAGATGAAATGAATGAAATGAAGCGAGAAGGGAAGTTTAGAGAAAAAAGAATAAAAAGAAATGAGCAAAGCCTCCAAGAAATATGCGACTATGTGAAAAGACCAAATCTACGTCTGATTGGTGTACCTGAAAGTGATGGGGAGAATGGAACCAAGTTGGAAAACACTCTGCAGGATATTATCCAGGAGAACTTCCCCAATCTAGCAAGGCAGGCCAACTTTCAGATTCAGGAAATATAGAGAACGCCACAAAGATACTCCTCGAGAAGAGCAACTCCAAGACACATAATTGTCAGATTCACCAAAGTTGAAATGAAGGAAAAAATGTTAAGGGCAGCCAGAGAGAAAGGTCGGGTTAACCACAAAGGGAAGCCCATCAGACTAAGAGGGGATCTCTGGGCAGAAACTCTACAAGCCAGAAGAGAGTGGGGGCCAATATTCAACATTCCTAAAGAAAAGAATTTTCAACCCAGAATTTCATATCCAGCCAAACTAAGCTTCATAAGTGAAGGAGAAATAAAATACTTTACAGACAAACAAATGCTGAGAGAATCTGTCACCACCAGGCCTGCCCTAAAAGAGCTCCTGAAGGAAGCACTAAACATGGAAAGGAACAACCCATACCAGCCACTGCAAAATCATGCCAAATTGTAAAGCCCATCGAGGCTAGGAAGAAACTGCATCAACTAACGAGCAAAATAACCAGTTAACATCATAATGACAGGATCAAATTCACACATAACAATATTAACTTTAAAGGTAAATGGACTAAATGCTCCAATGAAAAGACACAGACTGGCAAACTGGATAAAGAGTCAAGACCCATCAGTGTGCTGTATTCAGGAAACCCGTCTCACGTGCAGAGACACACATAGGCTCAAAATAAAAGGATGGAGGAAGATCTACCAAGCAAATGGAAAACAAAAAAAGGCAGGGGTTGCAATCCTAGTCTCTGATAAAACAGACTTTAAACCAACAAAGATCAAAACAGACAAAGAAGGCCATTACATAATGGTAAAGAAATCAATTCAACAAGAAGAGCTAACTATGCTAAATATATATGCACCCAATACAGGAGCACCCAGATTCATAAAGCAAGTCCTGAGTGACCTACAAAGAGACTTAGACTCCCACACAATAATAATGGGAGACTTTAACACGCCACTGTCAACATTAGACAGATCAATGAGACAGAAAGTCAACAAGGATATCCAGGAATTGAACTCAGCTCTGCACCAAGCAGACTTAATGGACATCTACAGAACTCTCCACCCCAAATCAATAGAATATACATTTTTTTCAGCACCACACAACACCTATTCCAAAATTGACCACATAGTTGGAAGTAAAGCTCTCCTCAGCAAATGCAAAAGATCAGAAATTATAACAAACTGTCTCTCAGACCACAGCGCAATCAAACTAGAACTCAGGATTAAGAAACTCACTAAAAACCGCTCAACTACATGGAAAGTGAACAACTTGCTCCTGAATGACTACCGGGTACATAACGAAATGAAGGCAGAAATAAAGATGTTCTTTGAAAACAACAAGAACAAAGACACAACATACCAGAATCTCTGGGACACATTCAAAGCAGTCTGTAGAGGGAAATTTATAGCACTAAATGCTCACAAGACAAAGCAGGAAAGATCCAAAATTGACACCCTAACATCACAATTAAAAGAACTAGAAAAGCAAGACCAAACACATTCAAAAGCTAGCAGAAGGCAAAAAATAATTAAAATCAGAGCAGAACTGAAGGAAATACAGACACAAAAAACCCTTCAAAAAAATTAATGAATCCAGGAGCTGGTTTTTTGAAAGGATCAACAAAATTGATAGACCACTAGCAAGACTAATAAAGAAGAAAAGAGAGAAGAATCAAATAGATGCAATAAAAAATGATAAAC
Organism: Homo sapiens; assembly: GCF_000001405.40. Taxonomy (NCBI): domain Eukaryota; kingdom Metazoa; phylum Chordata; class Mammalia; order Primates; family Hominidae; genus Homo; species Homo sapiens. The sequence continues at coordinate 175,995,560 of NC_000001.11, forward strand.
GGGATATCACCACCGATCCCACAGAAATACAAACTACCATCAGAGAATACTACAAACACCTCTACACAAATAAACTTGAAAATCTAGAACAAATGGATAAATTCCTCGACACATACACCCTCCCAAGACTAAACCAGGAAGAAATTGAATCTCTGAATAGACCAATAACAGGCTCTGAAATTGTGGCAAGAATCAATAGCTTACCAACCAAAAAGAGTCCAGGACCAGATGGATTCACAGCCGAATTCTACCAGAGGTACAAGGAGGAACTGGTATCATTCCTTCTGAAACTATTCCAATCAACAGAAAAAGAGAGAATCCTCCCTAACTCATTTTATGAGGCCAGCATCATCCTGATACCAAAGCCTGGCAGAGACACAACCAAAAAAGAGAATTTTAGACCAATATCCTTGATGAACATTGATGCAAAAATCCTCAATAAAATACTGGCAAAACGAATCCAGCAGCACATCAAAAAGCTTATCCACCATGATCAAGTGGGCTTCATCCCTGGGATGCAAGGCTGGTTCAAAACAGGCAAATCAATAAATGTAATCCAGCATATAAACAGAACCAAAGACAAAATCCACATGGTTACCTCAATAGATGCAGAAAAGGCCTTTGACAAAATTCAACAACCCTTTGTGCTAAAAACTCTCAATAAATTAGGTTTTGATGGGATATATCTCAAAATAATAAGAGCTATCTATGACCAACCCGCAGCCAATATCATACTGAATGGGCAAAAACTGGAAGCATTCCCTTTGAAAACTGGCACAAGACAGGGATGCCCTCTCTCACCACTCCTCTTCAACATAGTGTTGGAAGTTCTGGCCAGGGCAATTAGGCAGGAGAAGGAAATAAAGGGTATTCAATTAGGAAAAGAGGAAGTCAAATTGTCCCTGTTTGCAGATGACATGATTGTATATCTAGAAAACCCCATCGTCTCAGCCCAAAATCTCCTTAAGCTGATAAGCAACTTCAGCAAAGTCTCAGGATACAAAATCAATGTACAAAAATCACAAGCATTCTTATACACCAATAACAGACAAACAGAGAGCCAAATCATGAGTGAACTCCCATTCACAACTGCTTCAAAGAGAATAAAATATCTAGGAATCCAACTTACAAGGGACATGAAGGACCTCTTCAAGGAGAACTACAAACCACTGCTCAGTGAAATAAAAGAGGATACAAACAAATGGAAGAACATTCCATGCTCATGGGTAGGAAGAATCAATATCCTGAAAATGGCCATACTGCCCAAGGTAATTTATAGATTCAATGCCATCCCCATCAAGCTACCAATGACTTTCTTCACAGAATTGGAAAAAACTACTTTCAAGTTCATATGGAACCAAAAAAGAGCCCACATCGCCAAGTCAATCCTAAGCCAAAAGAACAAAGCTGGAGGCATCACACTACCTGACTTCAAACTATACTACAAGGCTACAGTAACCAAAACAGCATGGTACTGGTACCAAAACAGAGATATAGATCAATGGAACAGAACACAGTCCTCAGAAATAATGCCGCGTACCTACAACTATCTGATCTTTGACAAACCTGACAAAAACAAGCAATGGGGAAAGGATTCCCTATTTAATAAATGGTGCTGGGAAAACTGGCTAGCCATATGTAGAAAGCTGAAACTGGATCCCTTCCTTACACCTTATACAAAAATCAATTCAAGATGGATTAAAGACTTAAATGTTAGACCTAAAACCAAAAAACCCTAGAAGAAAACCTAGGCAATACCATTCAGGACATAGGCATGGGCAAGGACTTCATGTCTAAAACACCAAAAGCAATGGCAACAAAAGCCAAAATTGACAAATGGGATCTAATTAAACTAAAGAGCTTCTGCACAGCAAAAGAAACTACCATCAGAGTGAATAGGCAACCTACAAAATGGGAGAAAATTTTCACAACCTACTCATCTGACAAAGGGCTAATATCCAGAATCTACAATGAACTCAAACAAATTTACAAGAAAAAAACAAACAACCCCATGAAAAAGTGGGCGAAGGGAATGAACAGACACTTCTCAAAAGAAGACATTTATGCAGCCAAAAAACACATGAAAAAATGCTCATCATCACTGGCTATCAGAGAAATGTAAATCAAAACCACAATGAGATACCATCTCACACCAGTTAGAATGGCAATCATTAAAAACTCAGGAAACAACAGGTGCTGGAGAGGATGTGGAGAAATAGGAACACTTTTACACTGTTGGTGGGACTGTAAACTAGTTCAACCATTGTGAAAGTCAGCGTGGCAATTCCTCAGGGATCTAGAACTAGAAATACCATTTGACCCAGCCATCCCATTACTGGGTATATACCCAAAGGACTATAAATAATGCTGCTATAAAGACACATGCACACATTATGTTTATTGCGGCACTACTTACAATAGCAAAGACTTGGAGCCAACCCAAAAGTCCATATGTAACTAACCTGCACAATGTGCACATGTACCCTAAAACTTAGAGTATAATTAAAAAAAAAAAAAAAAAAAAAAAAAAAGAAAATGTGGCACATATACACCATGGAATACTATGCAGCCATAAAAAATGATGAGTTCATGTCCTTTGTAGGGACATGGATGAAATTGGAAATCATCATTCTCAGTAAACTATCACAAGAACAAAAAACCAAACACCACATATTCTCACTCATAGGTGGGAATTGAACAATGAGAACACATGGACACAGGAAGGGGAACATCACACTCTGGGGACTGTTGTGGGGTGGGGGGAGAGGGGAGGGATAGCTTTAGGAGATATACCTAATGCTAAATGACGAATTAATGGATGCAGCACACCAGCATGGCACATGTATACATATGTAACTAACCTGCACATTGTGCACATGTACCCTAAAACTTAAAGTATAATAATAATAAAATTAAAAAAAGAGAAAAAAAAGAAAAAAAAATAGAACCATGGATTAACAGGCATTCAGAAAATGTTAAAAAATAATTATCTTCTGTGAATGGAAATATATTTAAAAACTAAATCTGTATATAGCATTTCAGGACTTCTGCAAATTATGAAATCTTTCATCTAGTACCAGGGTTATTACATCCATTTAGGATACTCACAGATAGTTCATAATGTACAATAGTCCAGAGATGATTTTACCTTTCTGGTGTAAGTTAATTAAAATTTGGAAGGAACTCATTTCTCTTCCCTCATACACATTTTTGGTGTATTCAAAAAACATAAGGTAATCCTAGGTAGGATAAGGTAAAGCCTAGGTAATCATTTGGAAATATTTTGTGTTCATTTCAGTGCCTGTTAAGCAATAATGGAATGGAACTTCATTGAGTGGTACTGATTTATCAGATTACATGGCACACTCAATTCCACTCATGTTAATGATAAAGATATGCTCCAGTACTTGCAAAGCAGAGCACAACTGATGGGTTTCTATGACTCTCTATTTTGTTTTATGTCTTTCCATTTTAAAACACATCAGCGACTTAACTGAGCATTGTGGACAGTTTTCAACCCATGATGGTATGAGAAAGTAAATGTAGCATCTAATAGCAAATAAAAAATTAAAAATAAAAATGTACAATTAAATTATTATTGACTATAGTCACCTCGTTATGCTACCAAATACTAGGTCTTACTCATTCTGTGTATTTTTTGTAGCCATTAACCACCTCTACTTCCCCCAACAGCCCAAGTACCCTTCTCAGACTCTGGTAACCATCCTTCTACTCTCTATGTCCATGAGTTCAATTGTTTTCATTTTTAGATCCCACAAATAAGTGAGAATCCGTGACGTTTGTCTTTCTATGCCAGGCTTATTTCACTTTACATAATGATCTCCAGTTCCATCCATGTTGTTGCAAATGACAGAATCTCATTCTTTTTTTTAATGGCTGAATAGTACTCCATTTTGTATATGTACCACATTTCCCTTATTCATTCATCTGTTGATGGATACAAAGTTTGCTTCCAAATCTTGGCTACTGCGAACAGTGCCGCAAAAAACATGGGAATGCAGATAGCTCTTTCATATAGAAGTTGCCTTTCTGTTGGGTATATACCCAGCAGTGGGACTGCTGGGTAATATGGTAGCTCTAGTTTTAATTTTTTAGGAATCTCCAAACCAATCTTCATAGTGGTTGTACCAATTTACATTCCCACCACCACTGTACAAGGGTTCCCTTTTCTCCACATCCTCACCAGCATTTGTTTACTGCCTAACTTTTGGATAAGTCATTTTAACTGGGGTGAGATAATATCTCATTGTAGCCATGATTTGCATTTCTGATGATCAATGATGTTGAGCACTTTTACATATACCAGTTTGCCATTTATATGTCTTCTTTTGAGAAATGTCTATTCAAACCTTTTACCCATTTTAAAATGGATTATTAGATTTTTTTCCCTACAAAATTGTCTGAGCTCCTTATATATTCTGGTTATTAATCACTTGTCAGATGAGTAGTTTGCAAATATTTTCTCCCATTCTGTGGGTTGTCTCTGCACTTTGTTGACTGTTGCCTTCGCTGTGCAGAAGCTTTTTAACTTGATATGATCCCATTTGTCCATTTTTGCTTTGGCTGCTTGTGGGATATTACTAAAGAAATTTTTGCTTAGACCAAAGTACTGGAGATTTCCCCCAGTGTTTTCTTGTAGTAGTTTTGTAGTTTGAAGTCTTAAAGTCTTTAATCCATTGTGACTTGATTTTCATATATGGTGACAGACAGAGGTCTAGTTCCATTCTTCTGCAAACGGATATCCAGTTTTCCCACTGGCATTTATTGAAAAGACTGTCTTTTCTCCAGTGTATGTTCTTGGCAAGTTTGTCAAAAATGAGTTCACTGTAGGTGTGCTATACTTTTATTTAACTGGGAGCATAGAATTGTTTACACTAGTATCACTGTAAACATGTGAGTAATGTCTGCACTATGAAGTTATAATGGCTATGACAACATTAGAAGTTTAAAATTTTTTACCTCCATTTTAATCTTATGGGACCACTGTCATATATGTGGTCTCTCACTGATTGAAATGTCATTATACACTGCATGACTCTACAATGTAAATATTTTTAAAAAAATGAAATCCAAAACACATCTGGTTCTCAGCATTTTGGAAAAAGGGTTCTCAACCTGTATATGGTAGAATTTTTACATGCAATGTTGCTTTTTTTTTTGTTATGTCATTTGCTCTTTTATGCCTCCATTATTACCTTACTTTGTGTTATACAGATATTTTCTAGTGTATCATTTTAGTTTGAGTATATTTTAAAAGTTATTTTTCAGAGTGTTTTTTCTGGGGATTATAATTGGCATGTTAAATTAAAATAACCTAGTTCAGATGATCACTAATTTAATTTCAATACTATGTCAAAATTCTGCTGCAATATAGCTCCATCTCCTTTCCTCCCCAACCTTTGAAACATTATGGCCATACATATTACATCTTTCTATGTTACATGTTCATCAACAATTTTAGAATTACTATTTTAGTCAATTGTCTTTCAAACCCTTTCCAGTTTAGAAAAAAGGAAGTGCAGCTCACTACCAAAGCGCATTTAATTTTACATGAACACTCTCTTCAAGGCTACTGCAAATCTGACTGATTTTTACTGTGAAAATAAAATATAAAACTCTTCTTGGGAGTTATTTCTAAAGAGAATTAACATCAGAATTGTCTGAATCATCAGAAACATCTATTTCAAAAAACCTGGATTCATCGAATGAACCTCTAGGCATCAAGTATTTGAGTACGATGTTAACATCATGCATAAGAATGCTATGTTTTCTAAGGATCTGACATTTTCAGCGATTGAGTATAGTAATTCTCTGTCAAATTTTCTCGATTTTTGTTTGTGTAAATGGAAATACCACTACTAAAAACAGAATGCTATGGACAGAATGATGTCTTTTGTTTCCAAAGTTGATATACTACAGTGATGTAAAAATAATAATAAAAGCGAGATATTTCGTGGCAAAGTTATCTCAGGGTAAACAACTGCAGCCGCAAGTGCCACCAGCAAGTATTCTCAGGGCAAATGAGTAAAGGGTAAAATCAGAATAAAAATTCTTTACAAAAAAATTCATCTAAACTATCTTTTTATATACCGATATGATTATCTTAACCAGTTCTCTTTACTACTTTGTGGACTTACATTACAGTCTAGTATCCCTTTATTTCGGCCTGCAGAACTCTCTCTGGTATTTCTTATGGGGTAGGTCTCCTGACAAAGAACTCACTCGGTTTATCTGGGAATATCTTAATTCCCCCTTCATTTTTGATGAATAGTTTTGCTGAATATAAAATTCTTTATTGACAATCTTTTCCTTTCAATACTTTAAACATATCCTACTGCCTGCTGGCAGTAATGATTTCTGACGAGAAGTCATCAGAAATATTAACATTAATCTTAATGAGGATCCCTGGTACTTGCTGAGCAACTTTTTGATTGCCATTTCCAAGATTCTCTTCCCGCCTTTCAAGAGTTTCAATATGATGAGTTTAGGTGTACATCTTATCTACTTGGGGTTTATTGAGCTTTTTGGATGTGTGGATTGATGTTTTCCATCCAATTTGCAAAAATACTGGCCATCATTTCTACAAATATTTTCTACCTCTTTCTCTCTCCTCATCTTTTGGAAATCTACAAATGTTGGCATGCTTGATGGTGTCTCCAGGTTTGTGAAGTTCATTTTTTCTTTTATTCTTTTTTCTTTGTATTCTTTACAATGGATAATCACAACTGACCTATCTCCAAGTTTACTGATTCTTTCTTTTTTAGTTTTTATTTATTTATTTATTTTTATTATACTTTAAGTTTTAGGGTACATGTGCACATAGTGCAGGTTAGTTACATATGTATACATGTGCCATGCTGGTGTACTGCACCCACTAACTCGTCACCTAGCATTAGGTATATCTCCCAATGCTATCCCTTCCCCTTCCCCCCCACCCCACAACAGTCCCCAGAGCGTGATATTCCCCTTCCTGTGTCCATGTGATCTCATTGTTCAATTCCCACCTATGAGTGAGAATATGCAGTGTTTGGTTTTTTGTTCTTGTGATAGTTTACTGAGAATGATGATTTCCAATTTCATCTATGTCCCTACAAAGGACATGAACTCATCATTTTTTATGGCTGCATAGTATTCCATGGTGTATATGTGCCACATTTTCTTAATCCAGTCTATCATTGTTGGACATTTGGGTTGGTTCCAAGTCTTTGCTATTGTGAATAATGCCACAATAAACATACGTGTGCATGTGTCTTTATAGCAGCATGATTTATAGTCCTTTGGGTATATACTCAGTAATGGGATGGCTGGGTCAAATGGTATTTCTAGTTCTAGATCCCTGAGGAATCGCCACACTGACTTCCACAATGGTTGAACTAGTTTACAGTCCCACCAACAGTGTAAAAGTGTTCCTATTTCTCCACATCCTCTCCAGCACCTGTTGTTTCCTGAGTTTTTAATGATTGCCATTCTAACTGGTGTGAGATGGTATCTCATTGTGGTTTTGATTTGCATTTTTCTGATGGCCAGTGATGATGAGCATTTTTTCATGTGTTTTTTGGCTGCATAAATGTCTTCTTTTGAGAAGTGTCTGTTCATGTCCTTTGCCCACTTTTTGATGGGGTTGTTTTCTTGTAAATTTGTTTGAGTTCATTCTAGATTCTGGATATTAGCCCTTTGTCAGATGAGTAGGTTGCAAAAATTTTCTCCCATTCTGTAGGTTGCCTGTTCACTCTGATGGTAGTTTCTTTCGCTGTGCAGAAGCTCTTTAGTTTAATTAGATCCCATTTGTCAATTTTGGCTTTTGTTGCCATTGCTTTTGGTGTTTTAGACATGAAGTCCTTGCCCATGCCTATGTCCTGAATGGTATTGCCTAGGTTTTCTTCTAGGGTTTTTATGGTTTTAGGTCTAACATGTAAGTCTTTAATCCATCTTGAATTGATTTTTGTATAAGGTGTAAGGAAGGGATCCAGTTTCAGCTTTCTACATATGGCTAGCCAGTTTTCCCAGCACCATTTATTAAATAGGGAATCCTTTCCCCATTGCTTGTTTTTCTCAGGTTTGTCAGAGATCAGATAGTTGTAGATACGTGGCGTTATTTCTGAGGGCTCTGTTCTGTTCCATTGATCTATATTTCTGTTTTGGTACCAGTACCATGCTGTTTTGGTTACTGTAGCCTTGTAGTATAGTTTGAAGTCAGGTAGTGTGATGCCTCCAGCTTTGTTCTTTTGGCTTAGGATTGACTTGGCGATGTGGGCTCTTTTTTGGTTCCATATGAACTTGAAAGTAGTTTTTTCCAATTCTGTGAAGAAAGGCGTTGGTAGCTTGATGGGGATGGCATTGAATCTGTAAATTACCCTGGGCAGTATGGCCATTTTCAGGATATTGATTCTTCCAACCCATGAGCATGGAATGTTCTTCCATTTGTTTGTATCCTCTTTTATTTCCTTGAGCAGTGGTTTGTAGTTCTCCTTGAAGAGGTCCTTCACATCCCTTGTAAGTTGGATTCCTAGGTATTTTATTCTCTTTGAAGCAATTGTGAATGGGAGTTCACTCATGATTCGGCTCTCTGTTTGTCTGTTGTTGGTGTGTAAGAATGCTTGTGATTTTTGTACATTGATTTTGTATCCTGAGACTTTGCTGAAGTTGCTTATCAGCTTAAGGAGATTTTGGGCTGAGACGATGGGGTTTTCTAGATATACAATCATGTCATCTGCAAACAGGGACAATTTGACTTCCTCTTTTCCTAATTGAATACCCTTTATTTCCTTCTCCTGCCTAATTGCCCTGGCCAGAACTTCCAACACTATGTTGAAGAGGAATGGTGAGAGAGGGCATCCCTGTCTTGTGCCAGTTTTCAAAGGGAATGCTTCCAGTTTTTGCCCATTCAGTATGATAATGGCTGTGGGTTTGTCATAGATAGTTCTTATTATTTTGAAATACGTCCCATCAATACCTAATTTATTGAGAGTTTTTAGCATGAAGGGTTGTTGCATTTTGTTGAAGGCTTTTTCTGCATCTATTGAGATAATCATGTGGTTTTTGTCTTTGGCTCTGTTTATATGCTGGATTACATTTATTGATTTGTGTGTATTGAACCAGCCTTGCATCCCAGGGATGAAGCCCACTTGATCATGGTGGATAAGCTTTTTGATGTGCTGCGGGATTCGTTTTGCCAGTATTTTATTGAGGATTTTTGCATCAATGTTCATCAAGGATATTGGTCTAAAATTCTCTTTTTTGGTTGTGTCTCTGCCCGGCTTTGGTGTCAGCATGATGCTGGCCTCATAAAATGAGTTAGGGAGGATTCCCTCTTTTTCTATTGATTGGAATAGTTTCAGAAGGAATGGTACCAGTTCCTCCTTGTACCTCTGGTAGAATTCAGCTGTGAATCCATCTGGTCCTGGACTCTTTTTGGTTGGTAAGCTATTGATTCTTGCCACAATTTCAGAGCCTGTTATTGGTCTACTCAGAGATTCAATTTCTTCCTGGTTTAGTCTTGGGAGGGTGTATGTGTCGAGGAATTTATCCTTTATTTCTAGATTTTCTAGTTTATTTGTGTAGAGGTGTTTGTAGTATTCTCTGATGGTAGTTTGTATTTCTGTGGGATCGGTGGTGATATCCCGTTTATCATTTTTTATTGCATCTATTTGATTCTTCTCTCTTTTCTTCTTTATTAGTCTTGCTAGTGGTCTATCAATTTTGTTGATCCTTTCAAAAAACCAGCTCCTGGATTCCTTAATTTTTGTAGGGTTTTTTGTGTCTCTATTTCCTTCAGTTCTGCTCTGATTTTAGTTATTTTTTGCCTTCTGCTAGCTTTTGAATGTGTTTGGTCTTGCTTTTCTAGTTCTTTTAATTGTGATGTTAGGGTGTCAATTTTGGATCTTTCCTGCTTTCTCTTGTGGGCATTTAGTGCTATAAATTTCCCTCTACACACTGCTTTGAATGTGTCCCAGAGATTCTGGTATGTTGTGTCTTTGTTCTTGTTGTTTTCAAAGAACATCTTTATTTCTGCCTTCATTTCGTTATGTACCCAGTAGTCATTCAGGAGCAGGTTGTTCAGTTTCCATGAAGTTGAGCGGTTTTGAGTGAGATTCTTAATCCTGAGTTCTAGTTTGATTGCACTGTGGTATGAGAGATAGTTTGTTATAATCTCTGTTCTTTTACATTTGCTGAGAGCTTTACTTCCAACTATGTGGTCAATTTTGGAATAGGTGTGGTGTGGTGCTGAAAAACATGCATATTCTGTTGATTTGGGGTGGAGAGTTCTGTAGATGTCTATTAGGTCCGCTTGGTGCAGAGCTGAGTTCAATTCCTGGGTATCCTTGTTGACTTTCTGTCTCGTTGATCTGTCTAATGTTGACAGTGGGGTGTTAAATCTCCCATTATTAATGTGTGGGAGTCTAAGTCTCTTTGTAGGTCACTCAGGACTTGCTTTATGAGTCTGGGTGCCCTTGTATTGGGTGCATATATATTTAGGATAGTTAGCTCTTCCTGCTGAATTGATCCCTTTACCATTATGTAATGGCCTTCTTTGTCTGTTTTGATCTTTGTTGGTTTAAAGTCTGTTTTATCAGAGACTAGGATTGCAACCCCTGCCTTTTTTTGTTTTCCATTTGCTTGGTAGATCTTCCTCCATCCTTTTATTTTGAGCCTATGTGTGTCTCTGCACGTGAGATGGGTTTCCTGAATACAGCACACTGATGGGTCTTGACTCTTTATCCAATTTGCCAGTCTGTGTCTTTTCATTGGAGCATTTAGTCTATTTATATTTAAAGTTAATATTGTTATGTGTGAATTTGATCCTGTCATTATGATGTTAGCTGGTTATTTTGCTCGTTAGTTGATGCAGTTTCTTCCTAGCCTCGATGGGCTTTACAATTTGGCATGATTTTGCAGTGGCTGGTATGGGTTGTTCCTTTTCATGTTTAGTGCTTCCTTCAGGAGCTCTTTTAGGGCAGGCCTGGTGGTGACAAAATCCCTCAGCATTTGCTGGTCTGTAAAGTATTTTATTTCTCCTTTGCTTACGAAGCTTAGTTTGGCTTGATATGAAATTCTGGGTTGAAAATTCTTTTCTTTAAGAATGTTGAATATTGGCACCCACTCTCTTCTGGCTTGTAGGGTTTCTGCCGAGAGATCCGCTGTTAGTCTGATGGTCTTCCCTTTGTAGGTAACCCGACCTTTCTCTCTGGCTGCCCTTAACATTTTTTCCTTCATTTCAACTTTGGTGAATCTGACAATTATGTGTCTTGGAGTTGCTCTTCTCGAGGAGTATCTTTGTGGCGTTCTCTGTATTTCCTGAATCTGAACGTTGGCCTGCCTTGCTAGATTGGGGAAGTTCTACTGGATAATATCCTGCAGAGTGTTTTCCAACTTGGTTCCATTCTCCCCATCACTTTCAGGTATACCAATCAGATGTAGATTTGGTCTTTTCACATAGTCCCGTATTTCTTGGAGGCTTTGCTCATTTCTTTTTATTCTTTTTTCTCTAAACTTCCCATCTCGCTTCATTTCATTCATCTTCCATCGCTGATACCCTTTCTTCCAGTTGATCGCATCGGCTCCTGAGGCTTCTGCATTCTTCACGTAGTTCTCGAGCCTTGGTTTTCAGCTCCATCAGCTCCTTTAAGCACTTCTCTATATTGGTTATTCTAGTTATACATTCTTCTAAATTTTTTTCAATGTTTTCAACTTCTTTGCCTTTGGTTTGCATGTCCTCCCGTAGCTCAGAGTAATTTGATCGTCTGAAGCCTTCTTCTCTCAGCTCGTCAAAGTCATTCTCCATCCAGCTTTGTTCCGTTGCTGGTGAGGAACTGCGTTCCTTTGGAGGAAGAGAGGCACTCTGGTTTTTAGAGTTTCCAGTTTTTCTGTTCTGTTTTTTTCCCATCTTTGTGGTTTTATCTACTTTTGGTCTTTGATGATGGTGATGTACAGATGGGTTTTTGGTGTGGATGTCCTTTCTGTTTGGTAGTTTTCCTTCTAACAGACAGGACCCTCAGCTGCAGGTCTGTTGGAATACCCTGCCGTGTGAGATGTCAGTGTGCCCCTGCTGGGGGGTGTCTCCCAGTTAGGCTGCTCAGGGGTCAGGGGTCAGGGACCCACTTGAGGAGGCAGTCTGCCTGTTCTCAGATCTCCAGCTGCGTGCTGGGAGAACCACTGCTCTCTTCAAAGCTGTCAGACAGGGACATTTAAGTCTGCAGAGGTTACTGCTGTCTTTTTGTTTGTGTGTGCCCTGTCCCCAGAGGTGGAGCCTACAGAGGCAGGCAGGCCTCCTTCAGCTGTGGTGGGCTCCACCCAGTTCCAGCTTCCTGGCTGCTTTGTTTACCTAAGCAAGCCTGGGTAATGGCGGGCGCCCCTCCCCCAGCCTCGCTGCCGCCTTGCAGTTTGATCTCAGACTGCTCTGCTAGCAATCAGGGAGACTCCGTGGGCGTAGGACCCTCGGAGCCAGGTGCGGGATATAATCTCGTGGTGCGCCGTTTTTTAAGCCGGTCGGAAAAGCGCAGTATTTGGGTGGGAGTGACCCGATTTTCCAGGTGCGTCCGTCACCCCTTTCTTTGACTCGGAAAGGGAACTCCCTGACCCCTTGCGCTTCCCAAGTGAGGCAATGCCTCGCCCTGCATCAGCTCGCGCACGGTGCACGCACCCACTGATCTGCACCCACTGTCTGGCACTTCCTAGTGAGATGAACCCGGTACCTCAGATGGAAATGCAGAAATCACCCATCTTCTGCGTTGCTCATGCTGGGAGCTGTAGACCGGAGCTGTTCCTATTCGGCCATCTTTGCTCCTCCTGATTCTTTCTTTTGACAGGTCAAATTTTCTCATGAACCTCTCTAATGAATTTTTCATGTTTAGTTATGATACTTTCAACAACAGAATTATTTGTTTTTATTTCTTTTTGTTAATATTCTCTATTTGATAAAGTATATTTGTCATATTTTCCTTTAACTCTTTGTGGTTTAATTACCTTTTTTGAATATATTTGTAATAACTAATTACAAATATATAAGCCCTATAGCTAGGATAATTTCTACTAAGAATTTTTCTTGTTTGTGTATACCTTTTTTTACTGAAAAGCAGACACTTTGGAAAATACTATGTGGCAACTGTGGACTCGGTTCTTCCTCCTGGTTTTCTTCCAGCTCAGCTTTTTGCTATTGGCGGTGTTGCTGTTTGTGGTTTAATGACTTCCCTGGGACTAAATCTGTTCAGCCTGTAATTCCTACTGCATGGAGCCACTGACATCTTTAATGAGTTTTTTATTTATTTTTGTTTTTATTTTTAAGTCCAGCTGAGTAGGAGTTGTTCCTGGGTCAGCAACACTTAGCAGTAACAAGATTTCCTTAATGCTTTGCACGATTTGTGTGTATGTTGTGGAATGCTTTCAGAGCTTAAATCTGCCTTAGCCTTCACTTCCTGCTTACACAGAGCTCATGGTCAACCAGAGGTGAAGACTGGGGCTCTCTGCAGTTTTTCCTGGATATGCACACTACACCTGGCACATGTGCATAGCATTCTACAGCTAGGTACACGTCAGAGCTTCTTGACCCCCACCTTTGGCTGTTTTGTTGTCCAGATCTTTGTTTTCAATTTTTAGCTGTGCCTTGATTGCCCAACTGGTACTAGAGTCTGACACAGCTGTGATACTGCATCTGATTATTTTCAACAATACTGTGGGTATCGACAGGTATTTTCCCATGGAGATTTTGAGTTGGGTCAAATAGTAACAATATTCTAATATTTCACAATTCAAAAACATTTTAATACATAATTTCTCAAGTTATTTCATAAGATGAGAATAATTTGGTATTATAAAAATAACATAGTACCATATAATAATATACTAACGTATTCTCATGTTAATACAAAAGGGGTGTAATATGTGAAAGGCATATAAGTAAAGGTTAAATTATGTCCTTGTGTACTGTACAAAAGTTTTACAGTAGCTAAAAATTGCGTACTGCACGAAGGTTTTTACAGTGAGTTATCAAATGACAGATGTTTCTATAGATGTGACAACTTCAAAAGAAACTGTATTGGAGTACTCATAACCAGTTTGGTATGTTGAGTGGTGACTTATTTTCAGCAAAATTATACCAGTTAATCCGATTATTGTTATTATTATGCCATCATATTGTTATTTTGAATTTTGATTTTATATATTGCATTTATTAATAATTAGAATTTGTTCTGAGTTATAGTTACTTAGGAGACAGGGGCATATGAAGATGGTCTACACCTTTACATTTTTATATATATTGTAATAACATTATGATGTTAAGTTATAAGTTTAGGTTACTTGGGGGGGGGGGGTCCGCAATAATTTTCTTTCCTTTATAAAGGAGGGTATGTCTTTATATTTCTGAAGCATTGCCATAACTGAAAAAGTATGCTTAATAATGAGGAATTAGGGTACAGTCAATTACTGTTTTTCCTTTTTCCCTTTTAGCTTTGAAAAAAATATCCAGTCTGCAAAGAAGCTGAAAGAACAGCACAATGAATAACCTTGTACCACTTGTTCTAGACTCACCAACTGTAAATGTTTCACCATATTTGCTTTACCCACACCCCAAACACACACCGCCTCTTGTCTCTCTCTCTCTCTGCCCCCTGTACCGCTGAACCACTTTAAGTTTCAAACATCAGGATATTTGACTTTTAAAAACTTCAGCCTCTACCTTCTACAAACAAAACCTTTCCTATGTACACAATATCATTATATCACACTCAAGAAAATTAATATTGATATAATATACAATGCATCCTATATTCAGATATCTCCCAACTGTTTAAAAAAGGGCCTGAATATTTATTAAGTTTTTACTAGTGGGTCACTCATTGTATTTAGTTGCCATGTCTCTGGCCTATTATATAAAACAATTCATAATATTGTTATATTTGAAGCATTCAGGACAGCTGTTTTGCACATTGTTCCACACATCTGAATTTGTCTAAATGTTTTCTTATTATGTTCAAATTAAATGTTTTTGGCACAAATACTATAAAGGTGATGGTCCTTTCTATCACATCAAAAGAAGAGGCACATGTTTGTTCCAATGGTGATGCCAAATTTGATTACTTAAATGACCTTCTGGCCTTTTCAGTATAAAGGGAATCTGTCTCTCTTATTTCAGTTGTTAAGCCAAATGATGCTATCTCCACAGCCATTAAGAAGAAAACAAACACATCTTATTTTTTATGCAGCTAAATGTCAAATGTCGGTAACAAAAACCATACAAATACTTTAAGCCAACAAGATGAATTAATACTTGACTCTTCATAGAAAATCAATGCTAAATGACAAGGTGATATCAAAAATATCACCATTTATAGAAATAAAATTGTCTATATTAACATTTCCTCAGTGGTGGTAGGAGCCTGAGGACAGATTAAAGTACATTTTTAAGGCTAATTTTTAATTGTGAGGAACAGTGAAAAGAGAACTTTAATCTTTCTTAATATTCCCCTTTAAACATGCTTTCTAATTAAAACAGATTTTAGTTTATCTCAGTTTTAGTTGATATCTCAAAGTTTTTGTTGGTGTGAAAAACAAAATAATGTGGTGGCAGTAATTCAAAACCTGTACTTTATAAAATTAGAATAGTGCTGTCCAGTACAGTAGTCACTAGCCACATGTGGTTATTTAAGTTATATAAAATTAAACTAAAACTTACTTTCTCAGTAGAACCAGCTACATTTCAAGTGCTCAACAGCCAAATGTAGCTAGAACTAATACTGCAGTTCTATTTGACAGTTTTGATAGAAAATAACTAAACCAATGAATAATCTACAAATATGTATGGTGTAGTAAGTAGAAATTCCATTTCTATTAAAGGGAGGAAAGTAACCGAAATAGAAGAATAAACTCTAAGTACTTAAGATGGTTATGTTCACATTCACTAATTATGTGAGTTAATCTTCCCTTTCTTACTTTTTTCTCATTAATGTACTCCATAAACCAGAGAGTATGCTTATCATACCATCTTAACAATCAAATCAATCTTTCTAGACAATGTGAGATTCAAATTGTCCAATTACTCAAAATGTGAGCTTCAAAATAGTAACTGTTTTATGGCTAGAGAGAATTTAGAAATATAACACACATAGACATTTATTATAATGCACTTATATACAGTCACATGCCAGATAATGACATTTCATGATGATATATGATGGCAGTGCCATAAGATTATAATAGAGCTGACAAGTTCCTATCACCTAGAGACTTTGTGCCTATTAGTAACTTTGTACACATTATTCTAAGTTTTTGGTCATTCTGGTGTACACAAACCTACTGCATTGACAATAAAATAAAAGTATAGCACATACAATTACATACTGTATACAATATATGATAAACAACTGTGTTACTGGCTTATGTATTTACTGTACTTTTTAATCATTATTTTAGAGTGTACTCCTTCTATTAATTAAAAAAAAAACTGTAATACAACCTCAGGAAGCTGGGCACAGTGGTGTGTGCTTGTATCCCAGCAACTTGGGAGGTTGAGGCAGGAGGACTGCTTGAGCCCAAGAGTTTGAAGCTGCAGTGTGTTAACACTGTGCCTATGAATAGCCACTGTACTTCAGCCTAAGCCATAGGTTGGAGAACAGTGGTGCAATAATGGCTCACTGCAGCCTCGACTTCCTGGGCTCAGGTGAATTTCCCACCTCAGCCTTCCAGGCAGCTGGGACTACAGGTGTGCACCACCATGCTCCACTAAGTTTTTGTGGAGCTGGGGGTTTCACCATGTGACTTGGCTGATCTTGAACTCCTGAGCTCAAGTGATCCACTCACCTTGACCTCCCAAAGTGCTGGGATTATAGATGTAAGCCACCGCACCCAGCCAAGCTAAGTGTTATTACAAAAGAGTCAAAAAGCTTAAGTTTTAAAGTTAATGAAGTAAAAAAATTACATTAAGCTAAGGTTAATTTATTACTAAACAAAGAACTATTAACAAATAAATTTAGTATAGCCTAAGTATACAGTAATGACCTAGGTCTTCATATTCACTCACCACTCATTAACTCACCACAAACAACTTCCAATTCTGCAAGCACCATTCATGGTAAGTGCTCTATAAAGGTGTACCATTTTTTTTTTAACCTTATATTGTATTCTTACTGTAGCTTTTCTACATTTAGATACACGAATACTTACCATTGTGCTATAATTGGCTACGGCTTTCAGTACAGTAGCAAGCTATACAGGTTTGTAGCCTAGGAGTATTAGGCTATACTATATAGCTTAGGTATGCAGTAGGTTTGTGTAAGTATACTCTGTGATGTTTCCACAATGACAAAATCTAATGACACATTTCTCAGAATGCATCCCCATCCTTGAGCAACACGTGATTGCATTATGTAGTCCCTAGGTATCCTCGGGGGAACTGGTTTCAAATCCCCATGCCCTCCATACCAAAATCCACGGATGTTCATGTTTCTTTTACAAAGTGACCATAGTATATGCTTATAACTTCCACACCTCCTCCCATATACTTTAAATCATCTACAGATTACTTATAACACCTAATACAACATAAATGTTGTATGTAAATAATTGTTATACTGTATTTCCAAAATTTATCTTATTTTTTATTGTCATATTAATACTTTTCTAAATGTTTTTGATCCAAGGTTGGCTAAATCAGCAGATGCCCAAGGGTACAGAGGGCTGAGTATGTAACTCATCCCAAAAATATATGATTATAGTAAGAAAAGAAAATACGGTTCAGAAATTTACTTAGCTAGGGGGAAAAACACAAGATGATGATGGGTTCTAAAATAAGAGATAACTGGAATATAATCTTGTAATTTAAAATTTTCCATTTGCTCTTTGTAGTATCTTATTTGGTCTTAATGAATCATTATAAAGAATATAAAGGATTTAAGTTTCATTTAATGAGCAAACCTACTTGGTTCTCCTTCCTGCTATAGTTTTTCTCCTTGTATAATTTCTCATTTCTGTTACATTAGACTATCATAAATAAATTATTTCATTATAATTCTCTTTGGACTGAAATAGTTTACAAAGACTACAAATGTATTTCAACTCACCATATAATATGTGAAAAGTCAAAATTAGACACAGAATTTTAACTGAAGTATGAGAAAATGTTTCATATATTATTTATACAAAAGGACCTTTTATAGCTGGTATACTTATAACCTCACTATTACTAACACAGTGTTTTACTTTGAAAGCAGTGCTTGCAGAAAAAATTAAAATTCCAGACTTATTTAAATACGTGCACATGTAAAACTATCAAGGTTATTCTAGGAAAGTACCTGTGGCTTTTTTAGTTAAGACACTGCCAAAAGTATGTATGTTTTACAGCTGTATGAAAGATTACTCAGCCCGATTTTATAATCATTGATTAAGAGTTCATTCCAATAAGTGCTCTTTTAATTTTGGGGTGGGAACACTGATTAATTATATGAAGCTATTTCTCCATTCCTTCAAAATATACAAAGTATTTGTATTTTATCTTCATGTTTTTGGTGGAGAATAAAGGGTGCACAATGAACTTTCATTTGCAGAAAGCATGCAGAATTTGATTTGAGGTGAAAATAGAGAACAGAAGAAAACAGAAAGTAAGAGAATACATCTGACTACTGAGATCAAGTGGGAAGCTGCGCTTACATTTGAAAGGCTGCTTTACAGACTTCTGCTCCTGGACCCCACCCAACCAATTCCTACACAATCATCAGTGTGTCAAGCACTGTCTACTCTCATCAATGCAAGTTCAGAGAAAGTGATTCTGGGTGCTAAATTAGCTACTTAATCATTTATTATTTCAACAGCACAAGTTATGCTGCCTAGTTGCAACCTTTATCTCTATTAAATGGAAGTCATTCATTTATTTGAAAACTATTCTAATTATCTGTTAGAAGTCATTACCCTCAAAACAGGTGGTTACATTCTGTAATTACGATTTCTTTAAGGCTATATGGACATTTAAAAAATAAAACTATCTGCTAAAGACTGAGTTTCATAATAAAATACATGTTTTTTTAAAAATTAAAATCTAAGGGTCCTAAATGAAACTTCACCTTACTTATCACTCTCTGAATTTAAGAAGCTTACAACCTGAAATCAAAACTCTATGTTGGCTTTGTATTCCGAAAACTTTTGCAAAAAAATTAGGCAAAAACCAATGTGTGTGTATGTATACATACATATATATGTACACTATACATATATACACACTATATTAGTACTAATATATGTCTGTTAGTACTAATATTTTAAATACATGTATTTATTGAAAATCTATTATGCGCAGTTGTAAGGGACATTGTGGGGGATACAATAATGAACAAGAAAAGTCCCTGCTTTTCTGTGTGCTTACATTCAAGTATTAAAGTCAGACAAAAACAATTATGTAATAAATAAAATATAGATCAAGTGATAACAATGAGACAGAGAGGAAAGGTAATGACTGGGTGAGTCTCCTTGACAGAGGGTTTTCAATAGGCTTCTTTGAGGAGATGATGTTTAAGATGAGACTGAAGAGTGTGCACTGGCTGTGGTAAGAGCCAGGGGAAGAATGTCTAAAGCAGAGAAGCAGCACAGTGAGAGCAGCATGAAATAATGTAGGATGAATCTAGAGAAGTTTGAAAGAGATCAAAGCAGGAACGCAGGATAAATTTATCTGAAAGAATATTATCCCTGCTGCTGTCTGTAGAACAAACTGAAGGGAAACAAGTAGAGAAGAGCTGAGTATTCAGGCAAGAGGTTACTCCAGTGGTAAAGGTAATGTAACCAAATGCAGGTCCGAATCGTTGCAGTTTGCAGAGTCCAATTAACAACGACAAGGTCTGGTAGAAAGACAGACACTTTATTAACCAAAAGTAAAGGGAAGGGGTCAGATTCCTATCCAAAATAACCACTTCAATTTTTGAGGGGAAGGCAGGGATTTAAAAAGGGAAAACTTGATAAGGAAGACATACAATAATTGAGCTGAGTACAATGTGTGCCTCAAGGTTATATCTTGATAACCAAGGAGGAAAAAAAAGTTTTAAAATGAATTTTGAAGTTAAGCTGCCTGGTTACAGTAATGGCTTGAACTAGAGATAACTCAATTCCTGCCTAAGCTGGATATGACTGCAGGGAAAGCAACAAAGAGAAGAGAAGGATGGAAGAAATAGAGGAGTGGTCAATTATATTAAATAGTAATGAAAAAGAACAGACTAGATCAATTAATTTAGTAATATGGAGGTAATTTGGTGATGATGACAAGAACACTTTTAAGTGGAATTATGGTGGCAGAAGCCTTGGTGAAGTGGGCTACAATGTGAATGGTAGAAAAGGAGCCAGAAAAAGGAAAATTCTTCTGTAATATGATTTTTTTAAAAAGAGGATGACATTTAGTAAGTAGAACACACATGCTTCAATTTAACGTGAAGAATGAGATACATGGCTTGGACCACTGCATCAACAGGAAAATTAACAAAAAAGAAGATAAAGTAATGGGTTTGCAAAAGAAAAATTGAGTTCTGGATGTTAAGTTTGAGGTGGCAATGAATACTGAGGTAGGAATTTCCAGTAAGTAGAATAGAAATGTCTGGAGTTTTTTTTAGCTAAGAGTGGAATTGAGATAACTATTCAGGAGTCTGCTATTTAAACACAATAACTAAATGGATAAAATAACCCATGGGGAATTTAGAGAGTGACAAGAGAACAGAGTATCAAAGAATACCAACATTTCAAAGAAAAGACAACTGAGAACTATAGATGGGAGAGGTGAAAAAAAACCAGAGGGTGTTGTTTTAGAATCCAAGCGAGGAAAGTTTTTCCAGAAGTGAGTGGTCAACAGTGTTGACTACTACTGAGAGATCAAATGAAATAAGGGCTTGAATTTAGTGACATGAGGCTGCTACTGATCTTAGTGAGAAGAATTTCTATGTAAGGGTAGGAGCAGAAACCAGACTTCAGAGGAATGAGAAGCTGGAGTTAAGGAGGAGCTCTTTCTTCTCCTTCTCTGTCTCTCTCTCTTTCCCTCCCTCTCTGAGTTAGGGGAAACTGCACATTTAAAATGCAGACGGAACAGAGATGCCAGGTACATGTAATTCTATTTCCATTCAAAAACTATTTTGTATGGAATTTGTAATACACTTTTATTGTGTTTACATGTCCATTTTTATGAATGACTCTTTTTTTAAAAAAAAAAATTACAGGTAAGTATCAATCCAGGTGATAAAACAAAGGTAAATAAACAAAAAAATTTATCTACTTAAATCAGCATTCATTGTTTCATTGTTTTATCTGAAATAAACAGACAAAGAAACTGCCAGTCTAGGAACACATTAGGTAAATGTTTAAGGGGTGTATCAATTCCTAACATCTTAAGTGTTGAAGCTAATCAAAAGTATGCACTAACTCTTTATTTCTGTAAATATTACAGAATAATTTCTAGTACAACAAATAATTTTCCTGTAGGATTACTGTAAAAAACAAAAAACAGAACCAGAGACATTTCCACCATTGATAAGGCAATCATCAATACGTTAAAATGATCAGGTGAAATAGATAAAGGAATATCTTATTAAATGTTCAATGAATATTTCACTACCTTTAGTAAAGAAAGCATAAAATGACTATTATTAATGAGGCAACGTTTTAAAATACAGATTGGGACACAATCAGTCTAGACTGTGTGCCAAAAAGCAATAAGACATAAAGGAAGACTCATATGTAATACGGCCAATCAGACATCAAACTCAATTTCAAAAATCCTGAATTTCTTTAGGCTTCTCAGATGCTTGAGAGTTTATAAAAGTCCTCAATGCCCTAGCTTTTGGATACTGCGACAGGACTGGGGTGGGAAGAAAAGTCGGGAAAATCCCTGCTAGGTTTTTCTTAGGCGGGAAATAAATTTTGACCATTTAAACATACACAGGTCCACTGGTTACTAATATTTATCTCATACAGATATCATTACTTTTATTTTTATTTATTTTTTTGAGACAAAGTCTTGCTCTGTCACCCAGGCTAAAGTGCAGTGGTGTGATCATGGCTCACTAAAACCTCCGCCTCCTGGGTTCAAGCTATTGTCATGCCTCAGCCACCCAAGTAGCTGGGACCACAGGCATGCGCCACCACACCTGGTTAATTTTTATATTTTTAGTAGAGATGAAGTTTCGCCATGTTGGCCAGGCTGGGCTCGAACTCCTAACCTCAAGTGATCTGCCCACCTCGGCCTCCCAAAGTGCTGGGATTAGAGGTGTGAGCCACTGTGCCCAGACTCATTATTAATTTTAATAGCAATACTTAAACCATTTTTTACTTCCTTTAAGCCTTTGATGGTATCTCACTATACTGTTTTAGAGAACTGAAAGAAAGCTACTCTTTGACAAAAGAGAGAGCAAGCTAAGTATCCGTTACACAAACACACATGGAATACTTTAGAAGTATTTCCCCTTAACGCCTGCTCTCAATTTAGTTGTCAGATCTTTGTTCATGATTTGAGGAGGAATTAGAAGATATCACTTCCTATTTTCTATCACATACAGTTGGCCCTGGTTTCCAACCTGAATAAAACCTTAAAGATGCACTAATGTTAGCTATTATTATTTACCCTTTACTTTGTGAATAATCTCTCCAACCCTTACCAATCCACAATAGATATACAAGCAATTGTGATATTCTCCTAGAGTCAAAGAAGTAGCAATTACTTATCTGCACATTAGATTAAACCACAATTGTCAGTAATTTAAAATAATTAAGACAATTTTTAAAAACTTAATACAATTTTTAAGGAAGTCTCAGTTATATTATGTACATTTTCCCACAATTAAAAAGAAGTCTCAGTTAAGAAAGAGTAGCAGAAACATTAAAAAACCCAGTCCTCCCTCACCTAATTTATTTGAAACCCTATGATATAAAACAGATTAAAGAAGAGCTGCTCAGCTTAAAGCACAAGTAGGAATCAGAACCCTTTTTACTCTTTTTTTCTCCCTGTCTGCTTGAGCCATCTTTTCCTACTCTCAATCCTTGAGGAACATAAAAAATACATAATTTGAAAAGAACTGATTCTGTTTATCAATAGGGAAAAAATAATTTCATTTATTTTATCCATACTAAGTTTATCTCTTTTTGCTGAAAAAGGTATATTAATATTAATGTCCATATTAAATATGAACATTAGCCAGGCATCGTGGCACGCTCCTGTAGTCCCAGCTACTTGGGAGGCTGAGGCGGGAGAATCACTTGAGTCTGGAAGGCAGAGACTGCAGTGAACCAAGATCACACCACTGCACTCCAGCCTGGACCACAGAGTGAAGAATTTTTAATGCTTAATTCCAGGCCAGACAAGGTGGTTCACGCCTGTAATCCCAGCACTTTGGGAGGCCGAGGCAAGTGGATCACTTGAGGTCAGGAGTTCAAGACGAGCCTGGCCAACGTGGTGAAACTCTGTCCCTACTACAAATAAAAAAATTAGCCAGACATGGTGGTACACACCTGTGGTCCCAGCTACTTGGAAGGCTGAGGCACGAGAATCGCTTGAACCTGGGAGGCAGACGCTGCAGTGAGCTGAGATTGCACCACTGCACTCCAGCTTGGGCAACAGAGCGAGAATAGACTTTTTAAAAAAATAAATCATGGCCGGGTGTGGTGGTTCACACCTGTAATCCCAGCACTTTGGGAGGCCGAGGCGGGCGGATCACGAGGTCAGGAGTTCGCGATAAGCCTGACAAATGTGGTGAAACCCCGTCTCTACTAAAAATACAAAAATTAGCTGAGCATGGTGGTGTGCGCTTGTAGTCCCAGCTACTCAGGAGGCTGAGGCAGGAGAATCACTTGAACCTGGGAGGCGGAGGTTGCAGTGAGCTGAGACCATGCCACTGCACTCCAGCCTGGGCAACAGAGCAAGACTCCATCTCAAATAATAATAATAATAATAATAATAATAATAATAATAATAATAACCATCATCATCATCATCACTACTACTACCACCAAATCATAACAAAAAAAAAAATCAAAACATCACTAACAGGGCCTGGCACGGTGGCTCACACCTGCAATCCCAGGACCATGGGAAGCATAGGCAGGCAGATTGCCTGAGCCCAGGAAACCAGGACCACCCTGGGTAACATAGTGAAAATACGTTTTTCCAAAAAATATGAACATTAGCCAGGCATCGTAGCATGCTCCTGTAGTCTCAGCTACTTGGGAGGCTGAGGCGGGAGAGTCACTTGAGCCTGGAAGGCAGAGGCTGCAGTGAGCCAAGACCACACCACTGCATTGCAGCCTGGACCACAGAGGGAGAATCCTGTCTCAAAAAAAAAATCACTAACGGCGTTACAGGAAACATTTATTTCCAATATGATCTATTTATATATGTTCATGATTTGTTTATTTTAATTTTATCTGAAGGAAGAAATATGTTGCCCTAATTCTTCCGTGATATTTCTCAAACTAGACTGACAAAGGTAAAGATCCTGTTTAAAACTTCATACTTGGCCAGGCATGGTGGCTCACGTCTATAATCCCAGCACTTTGGGCAGATCACAAGGTCAGGAGTTCAAGACCAGCCTGGCCAACATGGCGAAACCCCATCTCTACTAAAAATACAAAAATTAGCCAGGCATGGTGGCGCATGCCTGTATTTGTAGGTACTCAGGAGGCTGAGGCAGGGGAATCGCTTGAACTTGGGAGGCAGAAGTTGCAGTGAGCCAAGATCACGCCATTGCCCTCCAGCCTGGGCGACAAAGTGAGACTCCATCTCGGAAAAAAAAAAAAAAAAAAACCTTCATACTCACTAACAGGGCCCAGCACATGGTTTATACATAGATATTAGTGGCTAAAAAAATTACACTGTAAGGCTGGGCATGGTGGCTCACACCAGCACTTTGGGAGGCCAAGGCAGGTGGATCACCTGAGGTCAGAAGTTCGAGTCCAGCCTGGCCAACATGGTGAAACCCCATCTCTGCAAAACTAGAAAGATTAGCCAGGCGAGGTAGTGCATGCCTGTAATCCCAGCTGCTCAGGAGGCTGAGGCAGGAGAATCGCTCTACCTGTGCGGTGGAGGCTGCAGTGATCCAAGACTGTGCCACTGCACTCCAGCCTAGGCATCAGAGCAAGACTCTGTCCCAACAACAACAACAACGAAATTATATTGTGGGCTTTATCACTGGGAAATGTAGGAAAATATGTATCAAATAATTTAAAATTTGGTGATTTACTATTTGAATTCATCTAAAGGCATCATATACAAGTAATTACTTGCAGAAAACACAGTATTATCACTATATTACTGTAATGAGCTAAGGAATAAACATAAATCACATAATCTAAAGTATTTACAATGAGTTATAAAATACTAAATAAGCACAAGCTGTGGGCAAAAATTACTGATATTACATTTTGCCTGCTTAGAAATCAGCTTCTTTCTTCTTTCTTTTTTTAAGAGACATGGTCTTGCTCTGTTTCCCAGGATGGACTGCAGTGGCACAATCACAGCTCACTATAACCTTGAACTCCTGGACTCAAAGGCTCAAGCAATCCCCCTGCTTCAACCTCCCAAAGTGTTGGGATTACCAGGTGTGAGCCACCAGGTCCAGCCAGGAATCAGTTTCTATGAAATAAAATATGTGCTAATTACTAGGCATATTTATGGTTGTGTTTTCTATTTTTTAGGTAACATTTAGAGGCAATGCCTTCCAAATTTTATTGGTTTTTAGAAATATAAAATCCAGCATGCCCACACCAGAAGTAAAAGCATTAAAAAACACACTCAAAAAGTAGTACAGAATTATTTCCTCTAAATGGCCTAGTTTGCTAAGATTGTACAAACTCAGCAGGTGCCAAATTATCTAAAGATACTACATATTTATTTTGAGAGAATTAATTTGCTTCAATCCTCATTGATTTGCTTTACATTAATCTCTTTTTTGTACACTTCTGCTTTAAGGATTAAATGCAAATAATGGTAAGTAATGAATGACTAATAAATACGGGACATAATTTTTTAATCATTAAAAATACATTAAAATAACTTTAAAAAACCATGTAGGCATGTAAATATTGCAAATAAATAAATTGATTTATCTCAAAAATCTGGGAAATGGTTGTCTACATTAACAATGATAGGAAAGAACTGAAAAGGCCTAGCTGGGACCCTTTAACACTACTACTGCTGCTTTCTTTGAATATCCTCAGAGACAAATTCATTATGGGAAGCTGTCAAAATCATTTAGAACCAAGTCTGATATATTGGGATCAGAATGAATGCTTGACTTTATTGAAAAAGAGAAGCATAAAAAATCATTTTAAGTAAATAATCTATGTCTGATTGAAAACAACGTGGATTTCTCTAGCTGACAGATTCCATCTTCTATATACATACTTGTTAACTTTCGTGTTCACATCTTTATTATCTTTTAATTTTTGCTTTTCTATCATAGAAAGATCTATAAAATCTCCTAAGATACTGAAATTTGAATTATCTTAGCATTTTCATTTTAATTAATGTATTTTGAGGCAATGTTATTACATACACAAAGCTCAGAAGACATATGTTTTCATTCTAATTTATTCCTTTGATAACTATATTGGGACTTGTAAAGTCTTTTATATGTATGAAAAAGGTGAAAGAACAAAATAACAAAATAAAAGTACAAAGAGAAACAAACTTATTGTAACAAGCACAAATATAAGATCTAAGCAAGACAGACAGGGAAGCTTACAATTAGCATGATGCCTCACTTCCCTGGTAGGATCCACAGTGCCCTTGCAACAGGAAGTCAAACTATAATTGGTGGGTAGCTCATATACTAATTTTCTACCTCTCAAAACTCCAAAAGCAATGTTTAAGAAAAGTACAGCCCATTCCTAATGTCAGATTCATCATCACAAATGATATTTATTAATAAGCAACTTCATGAGTATGATTCTGTATCGCTCTCAGTGGTAAACTAAACAATACAGCTAAAGAAACAGTGTTATTTCATAAAGAGAAACATTTAGATGACAGGCTACATTTTAAAAAATGTTTCAATTCTAAATGAAGATGACTGAATATCGGTCAGTTTTCTAGTTGTAAAGTTTTTCTTGTATTAAAGGAATGTTTCAGTCAGTGAAAGGTACAATGAAAGGCAATGAATTAAGCACTATTGGCCTCACTGATGCCTTGCTGATACTATCCCCTGCTTCAGACCGAGGAAAATTAGCTCATACCTAACCTCAATGTGCCCTCAGCATCCATTTCCACCATCTTAAAGTGTTTACAACCTATGCAAGATACAAGGTTAAAACTACATTGCTCAGATGCCCTTGCATTTATGCTTCTAGACATGAATTAGATTCCATCAATCAGATGCACTTATTTAAGATTTGAAAGGTGAACATTTTATGGTCGTTCTCCTTGTGCTTTGAATGTTTCTGTTACAAGCACCATTGTAGAGATGTGGGGGTTTTCTGTTGTAGTGTTCCAGTGTCTAGTTTCTAGCTTTGTGGGAGTTGTAGTGAAGGATTCCTGATTCCGTGATTACAGTAATGGCATCATGTTCTTGATTTCAATAGTGCCACTAGCTGAGAAATAACAGCTCTCCTGGCCTATCTGATGATGAGCTAAGAGTCATTACAGGAAGCCAAGCCTACAGAATCATTCTACAGACCTTCCAACAATAAGAACTACAACAGCCTTTCCACACACACTATTATACGGTGAAGAAACTAGCAAATGTTTAGCTACACCTACCAAAAAGAAATGAGAAAATACATAATTATAGTGGAATGAAACTAGGTACATTACTATTGACAATACAGGAATTATAAAGGAATGTTATTAACAACTTTATGCCAATAAATTAGAAAACTTAGAAAATATGAATTCACCTAGAAAAAGTAAACAGGCCAGGCGTGGTGGCTCACGCCTGTAATCCCAGCACTTTGGGAGGCTGAGGCGGGTGGATCACCTGAGGTCAGGAGTTTGAGACCAGCCTGACCAACATGGTGAAACCCCATCTCTACTAAAAATACAAAATTAGCTGGGAGTGGTGGCATATGCCTGTAATCCCAGCTACTTGGGAGGCTGAGGCAGGAGAATTGCTTGAACCCAGGAGGTAGAGGTTGCAGTGAGCTGAGATCGTGCCATTGCACACCAGCCTGGGCAACAAGAGTGAAACTCCATCTCAAAAAAAAAAAAAAAAAAAAAGAAAAGAAAAGAAAAGAAAAAGTAAACACATTGAATTAGGAATTTAAAATCTTCCCCAAAAGAATAATCCAAGCCCAGACAGTTTCTCTAATGAATTCTATCAAATATTTAAAGAAAATAATGCCAATTCTTCACAAACTCATTCAGAACGCAGAATGAACACTTTCCAACTCACTCTTTAAACCCAGTAGCTCTTTGCTGTCAAAGACAGAAAATATCATCATAAGAAAACTACAGGCCGGGCATGGTAGCTCATGCCTGTAATCCAAGCACTTTGGGAGGCCGAGGCAGGCAGATCACTTGAGGTCAGGAGTTCGAGACCAGCCTGGCCAAGATGGTGAAACCCTGTCTCTACTAGAAATACAAAAAATTAGCCAGATGTGGTGGCTGGTGCCCGTAGTCCCAGCTTCTCAGGAGGGTGAGGCACGAGAATCACTTGAGTCGGGGAGGCAGAGGTTGCAGTGAGCCAATATCGTGCCACTGCACTCCAGCCTGGGCTCTGACAGAGTGAGACTGTCTCTAAATAAATGTATAAAACTACGGATGAATATCCATTACTAACACAGACACAAAAGTACTTGAAAAGCTGGTTTAATATTATAGTAACATTACTGTCCCATATTACTATAGTATGGGACATCAACCTCACAATCAACCTCAACAGAGGCAAAAAAAAAGCATCTGACAAAATCTAACACCTATTCATAACAAAAACTCTTAGCAAACTAGGAACAGATAAAAAATTACTCAAACTGATAAAAAGTATCTACAAAAAACCTCACAGCCAACACCATACTTAATTGTGAAGGACTAAACGCTCTTCACGTATGATAAAAAGTTTTTCATACTTTTACCACTTCTATTTAACATTGTACTTGATCTTCTAGCTAATACAATAAAGCAAAATGGCATTCATAAATTGTTCAACTGCAGATATGATTCTACGTGTAGAAAACCCCAAGAAATCCACAATAAAACAAGAATAAAGAGAAGCAGTGTTAGAGATACAAGAGAGATATATAAAAATCAATGGTATTTCTGTGCACTATTAACAAAACAATCAAAAAATAAAATTTAAAAGCAATTCCATTCACAACAGAAATGAAAGTAACAAAATAAGGATAAATTTAACAAAAGAAGTTCAAGACTTCTACACTGAAAATTACAAAACTATTGATGATAAAAATGGCAAAGATAGTTAAAAAAGATAAAATGAATAATAGGCTAATTTAATATATGGATTTAAAATTACCAATTAAATATAGTAGTTTATCAAAATAATTCTACATTATGCCAAAGCAAGGTTCATTCAAGAAAAATACAATTCAGTGTTAGAAAAAGCATAAGCACCAATTGGTGCTAAAAGGTACTTGATAAAATACTGTTTTGCTTCTAATTAAGAAACAGTAAAGTAAAACAATTTGAATAATAAAATATTTTTCAAAAGTAGATATTCTAAACAGCAGAACACTAAAGCTCATTCAACTAAATGAAATAGATGGGGGAGGATGCTATCACTAGTATAACTCTGCCTTAGAGGTAGAGAATGTGATAAATCATTGGAAAAGAAGAAATGCAATTACTGCTTTGGGCAGATATCAAGTATAAACAGAAAACCCAAACACTACTAAAAAGCTACTAGACTTAATGTAAAAAATTTATAAGGTCCCAAGATACAAAACAAATATCCAAATATGAACAAGTTTTGTCTACATTTAGCAAAAAAAAAAAAAACCTAAAAAAAGAGTGGACAATAAAATTTTATTAAAAATAACAAAAATGGTAACATATATAGGAAAAAAAATTGACCAGAAAAGTCCAGAACCTAAAGTAAGTATATTATGAAATCTCATTGAAAGACAGAAAACAACCCAAACAATAGCCAGGGCGCAGTGATCCCAGCACTTTGGGAAGCTGAGGTAGGCAGACTGCTTGAGCCCAGGAGTTTGAGAACAGCCTGAGCAACATGGCAAAACCTCATCTCTACGAAAAATACAAAAATTAGCCAGGTGTGGTGGTGCACGCCTGTAGTCCCAGCTACTTGGGAGGCTGAGGTTGGAGGATCACTTGAGCCAGGGAGGACCAGGCTGCAGTGAGCTGTGATCGTGCCACTGTACTCAACCTGGGTGACCCTGTCTCATAAAAACAAAAAAACCAAAAAAAAAGAAAACCCAAACAAATAAAAAAGACACCTAATGTAACTGTGGAAAGACATACTATCACAATAATGCCAATGGTTCTAAAATCAGCAAATAAATACAAGAAAGTCTGATAAGAATCCCAAAAGAATTTTTCTAGAATTGGAAAACTATAAATCTTAAAGCTTACATGGAAAATTAAATGAGAAAAATAACTAAGAAATGTATGAAAATGTATAATACTGGGGAAAACTGCCTAGCAGATAGCGGAAGCATTTTTAAAGTAGGTTCCTATTTTCCAAGAAGGAGAAAATTTGATAATATTCATATCTGGCATTGGTACAAATTAATTAAATACTGATAAAATATTATATCCATAAATGATGGCCAGTATGTTTATAAAACAGAACATACACTCAAACTCAATAAACTAAGAGTATATATTTTAATTGAATACATAATATTAATAATAAAAATAACAACTATAAGAACTTTACACAAAGAATCTTTTTTCCATAATCCTCATAACAGCCCCAAACAGCTCTACCTCTATGTTACAGATAAAAAACTTGGGAGAAAGTTAAAGAACTTGCTCAAGGTCACATTTCTAATTTGTGACAAAGTAAGTATTTAAACAAGACAGAAGTAGGATCAAATGAAAACAGCATGTAATCATTAAAAATAAATTCTATATGCTAAAAAAAAGAGAATTTTACCCACATCTACTTGTTAGTCCATGTCCTCCTTAAACTGAACTATGAAATTATGTCAGTAGCCCAGTGACACAGTGAGTTGAATAAAAGGAAAAAGTATAGTGACATGGTTTAAATTATGCATTTCCTTTTTTTAAAAGTTGCTACTGTCTCCATCATATGGTGCTAACTTGTATTTTTTTTTGTAAAACCCTGATATTATTAATAAAAAATAAGACTTCACCATTCAGAAGCCAAATTACAAGTATTTACTATTTTAGTAAATATTCAAGGGGGAAAATATGAAAGATAAAAAAATTAAGGGTAGGGTGACCATATGATTTATCTTCCTTCCAACTCATGACACTTTTGTGAATGAAAGAGGGCACTAATAATAAATACAATGGTACAAACGGTGTGAACTAGGACTGTCCCAGGCAAACACCGACATATGGTCACCCTAGTTAAGAAAAATAATTTACCAAATGATTATTTGGTATGATAATAATAGCAAACATTTTTTGAATACTATGTTAGCATGAACTCCATGATACAAGACTATGTCTTATTCACTGTCCCTAGATGAGTGCTTTGTGCATAGTAGGGACTCAATAAATAATTGTTGAAAGAATAGTTTGCCTTAAAAAAAGTGTTCCTGTGCCTATACAATATAGCTTAATAATAGCTTAATTGTTTAAATGTTATTATGACCTTATGTTTGTGAATAAGTAATAAGCATTAATTCATGCATATAAACACTAAGAAAAATGACAAAAATTAACAAATTCATATCTACGTATTAAAGATAAGTGACAGAATAGTGCAATTAAGGTACAGCACTAAATGAGTAATGATGGCATACTGTATACTTCTAATTTAGAGCCTAATAATAAAAACAACATTTAAACCTACAAAAGAGTTATTTGTTTTAAAATGCTCTCCTATCCTTACCATGATATTTAACCAACATCAAAGGAAGACAAATCTGCTTTCATTTCTTACCTGCACAGCCGAAAGCCAAATGGTATCTGGAAGAGGGGCTGAATTTAACACAGCACACATTAGCCTTTGCCTCAATGCTTGCCACTGAGTTGTCTAGATTGGTAGACCACAGCTTCACTAAGGGCAAAGGACAATAAAAACAAAAAGAGAAACAAGTAATACATTAGTAAATGCTTCTGTAACTTGGGAAAGTTGGCTTATTGCTCCAGAAATCTTTTTGTGCCACTCTAAAACATTTGGTTTACTAGGACTAAAAGTGTTAAAGCTGAATGTATTTGTCTGTTCTCGCACTGCTAATAAAAAGATACCTGAAACTGGGTAATTTATTAAAAAAAAAAAAAAGAGGTTTAATTGACTCACAGTTCCACACGGCTGAGGAGGACTCACAACAATGGCAGAAGGTGAATGAGGAGCAAAGTCATGTCTTACCTGGGGGCAGGCAAGAGAGCGTGTGCAGGGGAACTCCCATTTATAAAACCATCAGATCTCATGAGACTTATTCATTACCACGAGAACAGTATGGGGGAAACCACCTGCTATGATTCAATTATCTCCACCTGGCCCCATCCTTGACACATGGGGATTATCATAATTCAAGGTGAGATCTGGGTGGGGACACAGCCAAACCATATCACTGAATGACTGAATAACAGAATAACATTAAAACCAAGAGAGCTTAGTTTCAATGTCAAAAATCAATATAGATAAAAAGGTCGGGCACAGTGGCTCATGACTGTAATCACAGCACTTTGGGAGGCTGAGGCAGCAGATCACTTGAGCTCAGGAGTTAAGAGACTAGCGTGGGCAACATGGTGAAACCCTGCCTCTACTAAAAATACAAAAGTTAGCTGGGCATGGTGGTGCAGGCCTGTAGTCCTGGCTACTCAGGAAGCTGAGGTGGAATAATCACTTGAGTCCAGGAGGCAGAGGTTGCAGTGAGCTGAGATCATGCCACCAAAAAAAAAAAATGAAATGAAATGAAATAAAAAAAGAAAAATCAATAAAAAGGAAAAATCAATATAGATAAACGATAAATTTATACTCAGATGTAACACAGACCCACAACTAAGACATAAAAGACAGGAACAAAAAAAGCAATCTGGAGCTAGGTGGTATATTTGTTTCATATATATATATATATATATATATATATATAGTTTTATATATATTATTCTTTTTATTATTATTATTATTTTTGAGACAGGTTCTCCTCACTCTGTCATTCAGGCTGGAGTGCAGTGGCACAATCATGCCTCACTTCAGGCAGCCTCTACCTCCTAGGCTCAGGTGATTCTCCCCACTCAGCCTCCCGGGTAGCTAGGTGTGTGTCACCAGGCCTAGCTACCTGTTTTCTATTTTTTTTGTAAAGACAGGGTTTCATCACGTTGCTGAGATTGGTCTCAAACTCCTGGGCTCAAGCAATCTGCCCACCTCAGCCTCACAAAATGTTGAGATTACAGATGTGAGCCACTGGGCCCAGCCAATTATTCGTTAAATGTGTGTGCATATGACTGTATACTGATATACATCATAAATATGAAAATGTACACAAACATCTTTAAAGCACTTGGAAACTGTTCTTATTTTATCTTTCAATTAAGAATTTCATGATTTTAAATTTTTATGTAGTAATTCAGTTATACAACTTAAATATGTCTAAAGTAATATATTCTAGAATTATTTAGTTAAATTGCAAAATTTTGGTTTTGTATTTGAATAAGTAGTCTAAGCCAGTGATATATATTAAAATTTGTAATGATTAGGGAGAGCAAAGCTGACTAAGCAAAATAGGTCTGATTTGAAAGCAGAAGCAGAAAATGAGTTGCCATTTTACAAAGGTACCAGAGCAACTATCATATCATTTTTCAACAATAAAAACAGTAAGACAGGATACACCCATAAAATAGATTTTCAGTATATAAGTTGTCATCCTGGATGCACATTAGAATAAATAAATGAACATTAACAACAACAACAAAATCTTTCCATCCATCTTTCAATCTGTCCCAGTGTCCCATCCAGGACATTATCCAGAGAGGGTCCAGGTACTGTTGTTTTTTAAAAAAGCTCTCCAGGTGATTCTAACATGCATTTGGGGTTGGAAACCAGTATTGGGAATGGAAGCATAGTAAAAAATCTTAGAATATTTTTAGAAATACTGATACAGTAACCTGTAGACAGCAGTGAATAAAATAAGTAAAACTGGTTCCAATAAATACCACTTCTATGAAACGGGATTACGTAAGAATTTAATATGTGAAATCTCCAAGTAGAAATTAATCATTATCAAAAAATATTGCTAATTTACAATCTGATAAATTTATTAGCCTTCCCACAGTAAACTAAGACCCTCAATATTAAAATAGGAATCATTATTATTAGTAGTAGTATTTTTTGAGACAAGGTCTCAAACTCTGCCACCCATCCTGGAGTGCACTGGTATGATCATAGCTCACTGCAGCCTTGGACTCCTGAATTCAAGTGATCCTCCCATGTCAGCCTCCTGAGTAACTGGGACTACAGATGCACACCACCACGCCTGGCTAATATATTTTTTTTAAAGTAGAGATGGAGTAAGATTTTTAAATAGCAATATTTGATTTGTTCCATGTTATTCTCCAATAAGCATGATGTACTATTTCAATCAAAATGCAATCATTTGGTCAATCACGACATACAATTCTAAGATGAGATGGCTCCCTGGAATTAAAAGTCAACATGCCGAACATAGCACTTAAAGATTAGATTATTAAGTGGACTTTGACTGGATTATACTCTAACAGCCTAGGCCCAAAGGTAATTCACAATAGATAAGTATGGAGCACTTACTGTGCCCATAACCCCACTTATAATCACTAAAAACCTTTACAAACAAGCATTATGTATCGTTGTTTAACGTTAATTAAATATAAGTGAGAAAAAAACAGTACTGACAGAATGACAGTTAAGTTAGAAGGGTGGCAGGTCTTTTGTAATTTCATGGTAATTTTCTCAATGCAGTAATCATTAATATTATTTAAATAAGTCACAACATTAACCACCATGATTATAATTTTCAATATATAAGATATTAGAATTCAATATAACTGTCTGAGCTACAAGGGTAACTAAGATTAAAAATAAAGATACACTAAATGAATACAGCATGGAAAAGCGGTATAGAGATTACAATAATTTCAGTGGTTATTAAACAAAACAGGTGTTAATTGTGTTCCCCAAAAAGACATGTTTCAGTCCTAACCCCAGGTACTTGTGAACATCACCTTATTTGGAAATAGGGTATTTGCAGATGTAACAAAGTTAAAATTACGTCAGACTAGATTAGGATGGGTCCTAAATCCATTGACTGGTGTCTTCATAAGGAGAGAGAGATTTAGAGACAAAGGCACAGTGAGAAGAAGGCCATGTGTGAAGAGAGCCAAGACCAGAATGATACAGCTACAAGTCAATAAATAATAAGAATGACCATCAATAACCAGAAATTAGGAAGGAGACAAGAAATAATTTTTCCCCAGAGCCTTCACAGAGAGTGTGGCCCTGCCAACAATCTAATTTTGGGCTTCTGGTCTTCAGTACTATGAGAGAACAAATTTCTGTTGTCTTAAGCCAGCCTGTTTGTGGTATGCTTTCTTATGGTAGCCCTAAAAAACTAATACAACAAATATAATGAAATAATATTGAAATCTATTTAATATCCTAAGATGGCATCACAGATCGAAAGATAAAATAGTATAATCTTTTGGAGGAAGCGTAGAAGAAATCAAGTATGAGAAGAAACTAAGCCAAATATAAATGAGGCGATCCTCAAAATAAGGAGACAGTATACAAATTAATAAGAACACCTTTACTGTTACTTTTTCCTTGCAAGGATGGTAGTAAGAATTTCATTTAACTTCCAAAATTTAAATTTCAGAATTTATTGACGAAAATTCCCTTCGAAAGAAAAAGTAAATTTAAAAGAAAATATCATCTTCTAGGTGAAGAGCTAAAGCAATTAAATCAAATAAAATACACTGTATTTATTTACATATGGCCTCCTTTGGCTCTCAGTAAATAATCAAAAGAGTAACCATTAGGAAAATCATACCATAATTAGGAGGTTAAAATAAAGAAACATACTCTAGTTGGCCATAAATTTGTTACTTAACACTAAGTGTTCTATACAAGTTTTATTTCTTTAACGTTAATGTGTAAAGTGTCTTCTAAGTGTCACCTAATTTTTCAGTTCGATTTTGAAATCCTGAATCTTAAAAAATCCAACTACACTACAGAATAAAGTATATCATCTAATAATCTGTAAAATTTGAGTGAATCATTCCCCAAAGTAGTTTGCTAAAATTGTTTCCAAAAATAGAGAACAAGATATTGCTTATCTATAATAACATCAGATTCAGTTCCAGTGTGCAAGGTTTATGTTTCTGAGTTTCTCTGACAGCGCCTACTGCATGTCTATTTGCACCAAAGTATCCTAAGAAAGAATTCATTACCAAAGAAAGAGAAAACAGGGACAGAAGTTTGACACAGTAAAACAGCCCAATGCTTTAATGAGGATGTGCAAATATGAGTAAGTTTCATATGGAATTCTTCCAGACTCGCTTCTAAACTACTGTCCAGGTCCTACAGAAAACAGAAAGTTACCCATATGAGTAAAAAGGGAGAGTGCTATTTCAACAAAAACTACCATAAAACTCAGGGGCAATGTGTATTGTTTTATACCTCTATAAAAAGTATGAAAGATTAAATACAAAGATGTAAACTTTAATACTGTTTACCAAATATAAATAAGCTGGACTCTTAAAAACTTTGTCAAAGGGAAACAACAGACCATGTATTAGTAGCTAGACGTTGTCATACAGCAAACTGCCCTAAAGCTTAGCTACTTAAAACAGCAAACATATACTATCTCACACAGTTTTGGAGGTCAAGAATCTCAGAGCAGGTAAGCTGGGTAGTTGTGGCTCAGTCTCAACACACTGCAGTTGAGCTGTCCCTCCTAGGACTCTAGACTATTAAACTACCACTTCCAAGCTCACTCAACATGACTTTTGGCATAAGGCTTCAGTTCCCCACCATGTGGGCTTGTGACAACGCAGATGTTTCTCCCAAACCAAGCGACTGCGAAGAGAGAAAATGATGAAGATAGAGGCTACAGAGTCTTTTATAACCTAATTTTAGAAGAGACATCTACTGGTCACATAAATGAAGCCTGGAACAAGGTAGGTGAAGGGGAACTACACAAGCATAAGAACACTAGCAGGCAGAGATCCCTGGAGGCCATGATGGATGCTGATCAACATAAGTCTTTAACATTTCATTTAAATTCAGGAGAGAATATACTTAGTAAAGCTTTAACTTATAGGAAAGGTAATTGCCTCTAAAGTTATAAATTATAATAACTGTTATCATAATGCTATTTATTAAGTTATTTAATCTGCTGATGAAAAACTGGAAGCATTACAATCAGCATGAGTTTCACTAACTGATTTCTAAAATCTACCAAGACTTCACAGTTGTCACTTGTGCATTAACTTATGCAACTAAGAAAATTTGGAATGAAGGGCCAGGTGCGGTGGCTCATGCCTGTAATCCCAGCACCTTGGGAGGCCGAGGTGGGTGGATCACTTAAGATCAGGAGTTGGAGACCAGCCTGACCAACATGGTGAAATCCCATCTCTATTTAAAAAAATACAAAATTAGCCAGCTGTCGGGGCGAGGGTGGGGGGAACATGCCTGTAACCCCAGCTACTTGGGAGGCTGAGGCAGGAGAACTGCTTGAACCCGGGTGGTGGAGGCTGCAGTGAGCTGAGATCGTGCCATTGCACTCCAGCCTGGGCAACAAGAGCAAAACTCTGTCTCAAAATAATAATAATAATAATATTAAGGAAATCTGGAATGAAGAAGAACCTGTAACTTCTGCTATCATACAGTCTAAATTCTTCAAACTCACATTTAAAGAAAAATACCTTTAAAGAATGTGTTTAATTCAAAGGCAAGGTTATTTATTGGAAACAATTCTCAGGTTACATATTTAAAAAGGAAAATATATTTCTCCAAAAGAACCTTTAAAATGACTCATAAAATTCCTTTCTGATTAGCTGCCACATAATGATGGTTCTTTAACATGTAATTACGTGCATATATACTTGGAACTAAATTATTTTAAAAATATACAGCATATGTAGGAAAAATATTCATATGAACTCAGTTTTTATTTAAGCAATGAAAAAAATAGCTGTTTAAAAAATTCCTCAGTTAAACATTTACTAAATACAAAATATAGAAAATAAGCAAAATATATTTGTATAAAATAAGTGATTTAAAATATTCTCTAACTATAAAGTTATCACAAAGGCAATATTTTATATGATCGCCAAACAGACAAGAGTAATAAATACATTTAAGTAACACTAAATAATACTCTTAAGATGGGCTTAAAAGCATTTGAGACTTTTACTGCCAAGCTGAGAGAGTAAGCCAATCTCTCTCACTTTGAGTTTACTCTGGACAATATCCAAAAAACAAAAGCAACTATATGAGGAAACTGAAAAAGTAAACAAAAACAGTCATTTCCAGGACAGAATTCTAAACTTAAATGAAATTCGGGATGAAGAGTACCATTTTTCCCCCTCTCTTCTCCCTTGGCAAGCTAAAGTCAGCACCTCAAGCAACAAACACTAAGTAAAATTGTTGTGTTTATTAATGACTTCAGCAAACCAGGGATTGGGAGTAATTTTTTCCTTTTTACTCTTTTTCTCCTCCAACTTTTCCCCATGGGTGGGCTTCAGTCACAGAGCTACAGCAGTATGAGAAGCTAATACTCAGAGTAAAACTCTGTGTATATAAAAAGGAGCATCTGTGATATAACGAATATGAAAAAGGCGAATCCCCATTATATTTTTCTTATTTATTCTCTTGCTTCTTTGCCCTTGTGGTGGGCCCTACTAACAGAATTCAGCAGTAGACTGGGCACTAAAGTCTCCTAAAATGAAACAACCCAACCTTCTTGACAAAGTATCAGTAAAAGGGGGCCCTGGGAGATAAAGAGTCGGGGAGAAACCTGGAAAGAAAGTAATGGAGAAGGAGATTCTACAGTTCTGTGCATTCACTGGCACAGTCACTTCTGAGCTGTGTATGTGCAAGATGGACACAAAGCAGAGCAGCAAATGCTTTGCGCACTGAACTACAGTTGAAAAGATGACCCAAGTCCTAAACTAAGCTCTAACTGGCATGGGCATTAGGCAGACTCAAAGTACCACAGCAAAAGCTCTGAGAAATGAACTGATTGTTTCCTTTGACAAGGCAACAATCACCTAGGGAAAGCAAGACAGAACTTACAGTCTAAATCTAAGCCAACTGATCACCTACTAAGAAATGAAGAAACAAACAAAAAACCAACATTTCCCACACAATTTAAACAGGACCCAACATCTTACAATATAATATTCAAAATGGCTAAGAGACAACCCCAAAATTATTCAACATACAAAAACCCAAGAAAATGTGAAGAATTTTCAAAGGAAAACACAATTAACAAAGGTCAGTCCTAAGGTTTAGATGTTGGATCCCAAGACATTAAATGAAACAGATTTTAAAGCAACTATTGTAATTATACTCCATGGGGTAAAAATAAACAAACTTAAAATTAATGGAAAGATAGAAGTACTCAGAGAATATATAGAAACTATTTTTTTTTTAAAAAGAATCAAATGAAAATTTTTGCAAAATGGAGATGACAGATGAAGGAATCATGAGCTAGAAGACAGAACAATATAAATTACCCAACCTGAAGAGAAAAAAATATTGACAAGAAAAAGAATATGAGGTCTATGAGACAGAACGAAAGGGTCTAATACACTAACATAATTAAAATCCCAGAGGAGAGGAAAAAGAGATTACTAGCAGTAGTTTGATAAGTATGTGACAAAGTAGTTTTCAGAGGAATATTGACAGGGATAGTGATATTATATATTAACAAATGATTCAGTCCACCAAGACATAACAATCCCAAATACATTTATGCCCTTAACAATAGTTTCAAAATATATCAGGTAAAAACACACTTAACACAAAAAAGGTAACTAAACAGAGAAATAAAATCAGACTTTAACATTTCTGTCTCATAATCAATAAAACGAGACCAAAAAAAAAAAAAAAAAAAAAACGCAAGCATACAGAAAATCAGAAATACAGTAGCAACAACTTTGATCTGACACTTACAGAACACTCACCAAACAGCATTTATAGTACAGTTTCTTTTCAATGCATTTGAAATATTTATCAAGGTAGTTCATATTCTGGACCATAAAACAAATAACAAATTAAAAAAGTTAACACTATGTAAAATATATCCTTTAACCATAAGAGGATTAAGTTATAAATCAGCAACAGAATGATTTCTGAAAATTTTAAGGAAATTTAAATATACTTTAAACAATCCATAGATGAACAAGAGAATAACAAGAGAAATCAAACAGAATTTTAAACAGAATGGAAAAGCAAATATACTAGTCATGAAAATAATATAATAGCAAATATAATAGTAAATAGTCATGAAAACTTGGTTTCAAATTTGTTTCAAAATTTGCTAAAGTAGTGCTTAATGGGAAATGTATATAACAAAAAATGTTCAGATTAAAAAGACAGAAGTATCAAATGACATAAACTTCAATCTTCAAAAAACTAGAAAGGGGAGGAAATTAAACCCAAAGCAAGAAGAAAAATGGGCAGAAATCTATGAAATTAAAAATAGAAAATTACAGAAAAATCAACAAAACCAAAAGTTGAGCATTTGAAAAGATTAAGAACCTAATGCCAAGCTGACCTAAATTAATAAACAATAAATAAACGAGAGGACACAAAATACCAATTATCAGGAATAAAAGACAGAAGATGACTTCATCACAGCTTCTCAGAGGTAATGAAAAAAACAAAAAAACAAAAAAAAAAAAAAAAAAAGCATGGCTACAAACCCTAGAGATATGAGTATATTACAAATATAGACAGTCCCCAATTTAAATAGCTCAACTTATGATTTTTTGACTTTACAATGGTGAGAATGCAATGTGCATTCAGTAGGAACCATACTTCCAATTTTGAATTTTGATATTTCACCAGGCTAGTGATATGTGGTATGATATTCTTACCTGTATTATTCAACATTGTATTGTAAAAGTCTTTGTGTTATTTTGCTTAATTGTAGGCCAATGTAAATATTCTGAGCACATTTAAGGTAGGTTAGGCTAAGCTACGATTAGAAGTATTAAATGCATTTTCAATTTATGATGGACTTATTGGGACTGTAATCCCATTGTAAGTGGAGGAGCATTTTATGGACTTTGATGCCCATAAATCTTGTAACAAATAAAATGTATCGATTCCCTGAAGGAAATGAACTGTCAAAAATTACACTCAAGAAGAGACAGATAAGTTTATTAGTTCGAAATCTACTAAGGAAATTAAATTCTTAGTTAAAACCTTCAAACAAAGAAAACTACACGCCCAGAAAGCTTCACTGACAAATTCTACCAAACATTTAAGAACAAAAGAATAGGCCAGGCGCAGTGGCTCAAGCCTGTAATCCCAGCACTTTGGGAGGCCGAGGCAGGCGGATCACGAGGTCAGGAGATGGAGACCGTCCTGGCTAACACAGTGAAACCCCGTCTCTACTAAAAATACAAAAACAAAAATTAGCCAGGCATGGTGGCGGGTGCCCGTAGTCCCAGCTACTCGGGATGCTGAGGCAGGAGAATGGCATGAACCTGGGAGGTGGAGCTTGCAGTGAGCCGAGATCATGCCACTTCACTCCAGCCTGGGCGACAGAGCAAGACTCCGTCTCAAAAAAAAAAAGTATAAGAAAAAAA
This sequence comes from Homo sapiens, assembly GCF_000001405.40. Classification (NCBI taxonomy): domain Eukaryota; kingdom Metazoa; phylum Chordata; class Mammalia; order Primates; family Hominidae; genus Homo; species Homo sapiens. Next base: position 176,037,432 of record NC_000001.11, read on the forward strand.
AAAACACATAGCACATAGAAGAGGAAAATCATTTTATGAGGCCAGCATTACCCTGATATCAAAGTCACGAAAAATTACAAAAACAGAAAAAAAACAACAAAAAAATTCACCCTCTGAAAAAAACAAACAAACAAAAAAACCTCAAGTCAAATCTAGAAATACAGAAAAAGAATAATACATTCATGTTTATCCTGGGAATGTATGGCTAATTCAAGTTTTGAAAGTCAATGACTATAATTCATAATATTAATAAAGAGAAACTACATGATGATACGTGCATAAAAAGTATTTAACAAAATTCAATATCCATCATGATAAAAATTCTCAGCAAACAAGGGAATGGAAAAGAACGTCTTTAAATTGACACAGGTGCCTACTAAAAGCCTAATTTAGTCAGTATATTAAGTGATGAAAAGCTGCAAGATTTCCCCCTAACATCAGGAACAAAGCAAGAAAGGTTCACTGTTGTCATTCCTATTTACCATTATACTGAAGTCCTTGCCAGTACAAAAAAGCAAGGCAGGAACGGGAAAGAAAGGCATACAGTTGAAAATGAAAAAGTATTTATGTTTCTATTTGCAGATGACGTAATTGGCTATGTAGAAAATCCCAAGGAATCTGAAAAAGTAATCTATACCTACAGTGACTTTAGCAAGTACATTGGCACAATGTTTATATTTTAAATATCAACTGTATTTCTATAAACTAGTAAGAATGAAATTTTTAAAAATACCATTTTCATTAGCACCAAAAAATAAAATACCTGCGAAACTTGCATGCTGAAAATGACAAAACTATGAGAAAAGAAATCATAAAAGCCCTACATATGGAGAGATAAACCATGTTCATGGACTAGAAGACTCAGTATATTAAGATTTTAATTTTTCCCAAATTGATCTATAGATTGAATACAATGGCAATCAAAATCTCAGCAGGATTTTATGTAGGTACTAGCAACTTGATTCTAAAATGTATATGAAAAGGCAAAGGAAATAGAAGAGTTAAAAATCATTTTCAAAAACAAGGATGAAGGACTTACTACTTGATTTCAGACTTATTACAAGCTACAAATCAAGACAACATGGTACAAGTAAAAGAAGAGATAGGGCTGGGCATGGTGGCTCATGCCTGTAATCCCAGCACTTTGGGAGGCCAAGGCGGGCAGATCACAAGGTCAAGAGTTCGAGACCAGCCTGACCAATATGGTGAAATGCCATCTCTACTAAAAATACAAAAATCAGCCACGTGTGGTGGCGTGCGCCTGTAATCCCAGCTACTCAGGAGGCTGAGGCAGGAGAATCGCTTGAACCCGGGAGGCGGAGGTTGTGGTGAGCCAAGATCATATCATTGCACTCCAGCCTGAGCAACAGAGCTAGACTCCATCTCAAAAAAAAAAAAAAGAAAAGAAAAAGATAGATACACAGATCAATGCAGAGTCTAAAAACAGGCCCATACACATCCCTTTATCAGAAATGGACAGATCCAACAATCAGAAAATGAGCAATGAAACAGCTAAACTGAATGGTACCATCAAACAACTGGATGTAACTGACATCTACAGATTATTTCTTTCACTAACAGTAGAATACACATTATTCTCAGGCTCATATGGAACTTTTAGGAGGACACACCACATTCTGGGGCCATAAAACACATCTTAACATGTTAATTTACGAGACTGGAGATCATACATTGTATCTGTTAGATCACAGTGGAATTAAACTAGAAATCAGTAACAGAAAAATAGCTGAAAAATTCCCAAATAATTCTAAGTAACACATACATCAAAAAAGGAATCTCAGGGGAAATTTAAAATATTCAGAACTAAGTGAAAATAAAAATACAATTTATCAAAATTTGCAGGATGAATCAAAAGCACTACATAAAAGGGAAATTCATAGCACTGAATACATATATTAGAAGATCTAAAATCAATAATGTAAGCTTCTGCTTTAGAAAACTAGGAAAATAAGAGCAAGTTAAATCTAAAGTAAGCAGGGAAAAAAAAAACTAGAGCAAAAATAGATGAATGAAAACAAGAAACCACATGAGAAAAATCAATGAAACAAAAGTTGGTGGTTTGAAAAGATCAGTAACATCAATAAGGCTCAATTCAATCCTTACCAAAACCTCAAAGAATGTTTTACAGAAAAAAAAAAAATTACCTTAAAATTCATATAGAATTTCAAGAGATCCCAAATAACTGAAACAATCTTGAAAAAGAACAAAGATGGAGGACTTAAAATTTCTGATTTCAAAACAGCCTTACAGTGTGGTATTGACATATAAACCAACAGAAGAGCAGAGAAAGACTAAAGATAAACTCTTGCATATATGGTCAAATAATTTTTGACAAGGGTGCCAGACCATTCAATAGGGAAAGGACAGTTTTTTCAACAAGTGATGATGGAAAAATGAAATATCCACAGATAAAAGAATAAAGGTGGATCGTTAACATCATATTACAAAAATTAACTCAAAATGGATCAAAGACATAAATATAGGAGCTTAAAACTATAAAAAATCTTTAAAAACAAAAATTAAAAAGTTAAAAACTCTTAGAAGAAAACTTACGGGAAAACCTTCATGACACTGGATTTGGCAATGATTTCTTGGATATGACACCAAAGGCACAGACAACACAAGAAAAAATAAACTCACCAACTGGACTTCTTCAAAATGAAAACAATTTTGTGCATTAAAGAACACTATAAAAAAACTAAAATAAATATATCTATTGTAACATGGTACTCTCACTAATTTAGAAATTCAAGGACAATTTTTCTTTCTTTACTTTCTTGCTCTTTCTTCTCTCTCTTCCCTCTTTTTCTCACCTCCCTTCCTCTCTCTCTCCTTCTCCCTCTCTGTACCACCCCCTTTTCCCTCCTTCTCTTTCTTTTCTGAGATGGGGTCTTGCTCTGTCATCCAAGCTGGAGTACAGTGTGGCACAATCCTCACTCACTGTAACCTTGAATTATTGGGCTCAAGAGATCCTCCTGCCCCAGTTTCCCAAGCGCTGAGACTACCTGTGCGCACCACCACGCCCAGGTAATTTTTAAAATTTTTTGTAGAGACAGGGTCTCATGCAGGCTGGTCTCAAACTTCTGACCTCAAGCCATCCTCCTGCCTCAGCCTCCAAAATTGCTGGGATTACAGGTGTGAGTCACCATGCCTGGCTGACGAGTTCTTAAATCAAGGAAAAAAGGTATTCCATTCTGTATATAGTAGGAATAAACAACTTGCTACTCTATGGCCCAAAACTTTTTAGGGGCAGTCCACTCTTGTTTGTTTCCCTTTTTACAGAATAGACTGTGCTCCATTATTTCATTTCTTTTATGTATTAAAAGGCCAAAGGGAAAGGCATAACATGATGCGAAATAAAGCTTCCAATGCTAGAGCTATCCTTGCCTATCAAAACAATACTGAAAGTTATAGGCAGAAAAGAAGAAAAAGGCAAAGAAATTAAGGGTAGTAATGTTAAGATAAAATAAATCTGTTAACATAGCTTTATACACTTAATGGTGAGAAGAACCAGACCAAAACAGCACATTAAGGAAAAACAGAAAACAGTGAATAGTAAAGATGGATATACAAGAAACAGAAAAAAAAGGTCAATTAAATTGGCAAAAAGTGATGTAGAATTTTGCCTTGATATATGATGAACTTCGTTAAGAGATTTTAGTATACAATAGAAATTAAATACAATGCAGCACATAGAGATTTCTAAATATTTCCAGGAAAAAAAGGTTATTTGGTGGTATATCTATCTAAAGGACTTGGTTATAAGATAGCAGCAATTTCTAAATGTCTCCATGTGGAATGAATCTAAAAACATCATTAGAATAAGGATGCAGTACATTCATTTTTCATTCACTCAAGAAGAGAAATCAATTTCTCTACTTGGATTTTTTTTCTTTTTTTCTTTTTTTTTTTTGAGACAGAGTCTCGCTCTGTCATCCAGGCTGTAGTGCAATGGCGAGACCTGGAATCACTACAACCTCTGCCTCCTAGGTTCGAACAATTCTTGTGCTTCAGCCACCCTCAGTAGCTAGGACCACAGGCCTGCACCACCACACCTGGCTAATTTTTGTATTTTTAGTAGAGACAGGGTTTCACCACATTGGCCAGGCTGTTCTCAAACTTCTGGCCTCAAGTGATCCACCCGCCTCAATCTCCCAAACAAAGTGCTGGGATTACAAGCATGAGCTACCACGCCCGGCCCCTGCTTGGATTTTTAAAAAAATAAACAGTAGGCCGGGCATGGTGGCTCACACCGGTAATTCCAGCACTTTGGGAAGTCGAGGTGGGTAGATCACTGGAGGTCAGGAGTTCGAGACCAGCCTGGCCAGCACGGTGAAACCCCATCTCTACTAAAAATTTTTAAAAAATTAACTGGGTGAAGCCAGGTGCAGTGGCTCACATCTGTAATCCTAGCACTTTGGGAGGTTGAGGCAGGCAGGTCATGAGGTCAGGAGTTCGAGACCAGCCTGGCCAATATGGTAAAACCCTATCTCTACTAAAAATACAAAAATTAGCCGGACATGGTGGCACGTGCCTGTAGGCCCAGCTACTCAGGAGGCTGAGGCAAAAGAATCGCTTGAACCTGGGAGGCAGAGGTTGCAGTGAGCGGAGATTGCCCCACTGTACTCCAGTCTGGGCAGCAGAGCGAGATTACGTCTCAAAAAAAAAATTAGCCGAGTGTGGCGGTGCACACCTATAATCCCAGCTAAATGGGAGGTGGAGGCAGGAGAATCACTTGAACCCGGGAGGTGGAGGTTGCAGTGAGCCGAGATTGCGCCACTGCACTCCAGCCTGGGCGACACAGCGAAACTCTATCTCAAAAAAAAAAAAAAAAAAGGTGGCTCATGTCTGTAATCCCAGCACTTTCAGAGGCCGAGGCAGCAGGGCAGATCACTTGAGGTCAGTTTGATACCAGTCTGGCTAACATGGTGAAACTCCACCTCTACCAAAAATACAAAAAATTAGCCAGGCATGGTGGTGGGTGGCTGTAATCCCAGCCACTCGGGAGGGTGAGGCAGGAGAATCGCTTGAACCTGGGAGGCGGAGGTTGCAGTGAGCCGAGATCACCCCACTGCACTCCAGCCTGGGCAGCAGAGCGAGAATCCGTCTCAAAAAAAAAAAAAAAAAAACTAGCCAAGTGTGGTGGTACACACCTATAATCCCAGTTACATGGGAGGCTGAGGTAGGAGAATTGCTTGAACGCAGGAGGTGGAGGTTGCAGTGAGCCGAGACTGCGCCACTGCACTCCAGCCTGGGCGACACAGTGAAACTCTATCTCAAAAAAAAAAAAAAAAAAAAAAAGTGGCTCACATCTGTAATCCCAGCACTTTGAGAGGCCGAGGCAGCAAGGCAGATCACTTGAGGTCAGGAGTTTGATACCAGTCTGGCTAACATGTTGAAACCCCATCTCTACCAAAAATATAAAAATTAGCCAGGCATGGTGGCACGTGGCTGTAACTCCAGCTACTCGGGAGGGTGAGGCAGGAGAATCGCTTGAACCCGGGAGGCAGAGGTTGCACTGAGCCACAATTGTGCCACTGTACTCCAGCCTGGGTGACAGAGTGAGATTCCATCTCAAAAAACAAAACAAAACAACATGGGGAATAATAATAATCAGTAATCACAAAGGACTGACATGAGTTTGAGTAAATATTTGTATTTCTGCCGATGAAAGGAATTACAGTTAAGAGGGCCAGGGAGAAGGAGGTGCTGAGAAAGAGATTCAAACAGTACCTTTTGCATCATCAGAACCTGAAGCCAAGAGTTTAGGATCCATCAAATTAAAGTCAACACTCCAACACCTCTTCTCATGCTCCTGGAAGCAGAAAGAAGACAGTAGCCTCAGATAGAATACAGATCTCAAAATGAATAAAGCAAGAAAAAAAAAAACCTGATATCAATTTATTGTTACGGGGAGAGGGAAAGACAACAGGCTAGAAAACAAATGAAAAGCAAATAAGATGTTGATATAAAGTACTTCCAAAACTTTTTATACATTTACCAAAATTATTGCTTTTAGAAATTTACCTGATACATTCCATAAAGACCGAAGTCTGAAGAAATGCTTTGGAAAAGCATATGGTACCAAAAGTGGGAGACAGGAAAAAAAAGCATTTGGTATTGCATAGGTGTTACACAGGTATAAAAAATACTAAATAGTGACTTCAAATCTGTAATTATAAGGCACATGAAGTTCTAAAAGTTTTAACAAACCAAATGTATGATTCATATAACATGTAACTAGTACCCTTATTTACCTGATAGACCTTTGACCTCTGTCCTGTGAATCCATCCCATAAAATAACAGTGCCTTCATAATCACTGCTAGCTAACAGGTTCTTATGGTAACTACTCCAACTGATACAGCTGAAAGAAATACAGTTAAAAGTTACTTTACATAAAAATAAATAACAATGGGATAAAAATAATTTTAATGTGTTCAGAAAGATTTGCACTATTTTAAAATGGTCTCTATCAGTTCACAATCATTATTCTGCCCACAACATACCTGGGAAAAGACATACCAATAATTTTGAAATTTTAAAAATAAAAATTAACAAGTAATGACCCTAACCACCTTTTACTGTGATCACTAGCTGTTAAGATGGATGTGAGCCTAGAGCTATCACTGGCCATCTTTGATACATGAGGAAACGATGTCTATCAGTGAAGGTGATACTATCCAGAGGGCTCAAGGCATACCATGGCAGAATGACAGACCTGATGAGACTGTTTAACCCCCTGGATCCAGTTGTGCCAAATCATATAAGCCAAATAAACTACAGTGAATTGGGTTTCTGTATTTACATCCCAAAAGTCTTGACTTGACTAATTATAACTTATGACTAAAATTCCAATTAAAAGCATCTAAAAGTTAGAATCAAACTTTTATCATTTATGGTTTTGGCTATTCTCAAGTACTCCAGAAGTCTACAACATCTAAAAACTTCTGCTGAGATACATATCTGCATCACGCATATAGTAAAGGGAATGCATATTATGGAAGAAGTTACTTAGAAGGCAGTTAATGTAGGTAACTTCTAAGACATGAACACAAGGTCTTTTGCTTTCTACTAGTTGCATTGATGCTAAATTCCAGAGACTGGAAGAGTTTATTTGCATTTTTAAATATACTTAATTAGAATTTCTGGTAGAAATTATCTGGAACAATTAAGAGACACATTTTGAATTTAGGTAGACTTGAGTTCAAATTCCAGATCTGTTACTTATTAGCTGTGGCTCTGGCTAATTTAGTACACTTTCACAGTAGATGTGCTCCGAATCTATTTTAGGCATCCTTAGGTATTGATCCTTTCAGCCCCAGGCCCACAGCTTTCAGCCTTGAGCGCTTTCACCATTTATTCCAATATATCAGGAAGTATTGCACATTTTTACACATACAAATACAGAACAGGTAGACAGCACATTTAAACTTTCTAATCCACGTTTTCATTATGTAATATATTATGAGTACTTGCCATGGGCCAAGTGTTGTTCTGAGTGCATTATGGGGATTTTTTAAAAGTACAATCCTATTAAATAAGTATTACTATTGTGACCTCCATTTTATAAATAAGGAGCAGGAAATGTTTAAGGGCACAGACTCTAGAACCAAACTACTTCAGTCTGAATCCTGGCTCCTCTATATAGCAGGTGTATAATCTTAGGCAGGTTATTTACCTTCCTGTGCTCAGCTTTCTTTGTATAAAATGGAGCAATAATGGTAACTATTTCATAGGTCTGCTAAAGACCAAGCACTTAGGATAATGCCTGATATATAAGAATTCAATAAACTTGTATCTAATTCATGTTATATCCTCTTCACTTAGGACATAAACTATAACAGATTCTCAATGATGAGTGCCACAAATGAATGGGGAAGCTCACCAATTATCGATATAGTATTTTTATAAATGAACTAGAAAAAAGAAAGTTATAACAAATAAATTATACAAAGACTGTAACAAACATACTATGTATGCCATTCATTAAAGATAAAAAAGGTTCAAGGATGGCTATTTTGAAAATGTTCAAAGTTCTATACAAAGTTATTATTAGATGATTTCCTCATATAATTCTCTTTTAAAGCCAGTGCTCATGAGAACAGCTTGGGAAGCTTGTTTAGAAGGAAAAAAAAAAAAAAAAAAGCAGATTCTAGAATTCTTCTGAGATTTTTTGGGGAGCAGATCAGGAGTAGAGTCTTAACATACTGTTAGTGTTTAAGAGTATTTTAGGTTTGAAAAGCACTGCTTATAAAGTATAATCTCTAATACAGAAAACATAAACACCATTCCTTCAGTGAAAAGCAGAATATTCTTGTAAAAAAAATTCTTAAAACTAGAAACAATTCTAATATGTTGAGATATGTGCAGGCTAGGGGAAAAATTCCTGATGTTCAAATACTATTCATAAGCTACATTAATCCTCATTCAGTACTCCATAGAGTCTCCAACAACCATGTCCAACAAAGACCTTTATTTGATTAAGTGAAAGAAGAACTTTAATTTGGCAACCAGAAAAAAAAAAAAGGCTAACCTCACAAGAAAAAAGCAACCAATATCTGTAAGAAAGATGATATAAGTAATAATATATACTCTGTATACATAGTACAATAATAGTGTTCACCATGAGTAAAAAGTGTCATGCAAAGGTAAAATAATCTCATGATAATTACATATGCAAATTGTTACATCTATACTGCATCATGTCAAGAAAATAATGTAAATACCTGATTTTCGAATTGCAGGTCATTTCATTCTCAGGGTAATGAATATCCACTGCATCCTGGATGACAGTGTCATATTCATAGACTTTAATCTTCTTTGTAACTCCAGCAATCGCAAAATAGTCACAATCCCGGTCAAATTCAATACTAAGGGGAAAAAGTATGTAATGACAACATTTCAGAATTTGCTATTTTCTATTTCTAAAGTAATTCGGTCTACAAGGATAAAAGATCTACTTTAAATACCTTCAAATTGTACTAGACCTCATATCCAGATTAAGTAATCAACACATATCAAATTAAAAGTTGTTGAGATTTGTGTAATATAAAACTTTTAATATATACATTTGTATATCTACACAATTGTGCACAGGTGTACTTTTGTTCCAAGACACCTGACATGCTTTTCATTCAGTTCTAATAACCATATTACAGCTTACTGAGAAAGATTTAATGGCGTGAATCATTTGATATACTAAAAGTATGCCAAAAGACAATTATCAACTAATTTTTCCATACATTCTACTTATTTCCCTGCCATTTTGTGGAGGTAGTAGAATTTCACAATATTAAATTTTATTTTTAATAAATAAATTAGTATATAATTTGAATTACTGAAGCAATTGGGTGATGACAAGGGGATGGAATACATATAACAGAACCACTGAATTATCATTACTTTTCCCCAAATCCATACCTAATCCCCCTCCCCAAATATCTCTCTGAATTATAAAACCCCAATACACATTCCTCATATCACAAAAGAGGTTAAATAAATAAATAAATAAATAATCTCCTTTCCTTCAGCGTTATTCACTCCTCTCTTGCTGATCATTTTTATATAAGCTCCAAAACAAGCTATTTGAAAGCAAGTACAAGATCATACTCGCTTTTACAGAACTTGCAGCCTAAACACAGTTGTTACATAACCAGCTGGAAATCTAATTAGCCCAAAGGTAGTAAAAGTTGAAATGAATCATCACATACATTATTCCTCAATATGATTTAAGCATCTTTTCTAGAGGTTTAGCGATAAGAATTCTCACTGATCTACAATTAATTACACAATAATACCTAATATTCATTAATCATTCACTTACTAAAACATTTTGCATGTATTACCTCATTTAGTCCTCATAACAACCTGTGATATATGTATTATTATTATCTACATTTTACAGATGAGAAAATGAAGATTAGAGGTGAGGTAAATTGCCCAAAGTTAGTCAATCTGTAAGTGGCTGAGGTGGGATTCAAACACAAGGTAGTCTGGTTTCAGAGCTGGTGCTAATAATTACTATGCTTTATTACAGATCAAAGCTCTTAATGTAAAACTCAAAGTGTAAAGGCTAAAGGTTTAAAGGTTTAAAATCTATGTGTATGAATGTATCTTCAATATCTATGTATGTGTGTTTCTTCTCTCAAAATGCCTAGCTAGTGCTCTGTATCTATTAAGCATTCATTTAATGCACAAAATACAAACACCTACATACAAAAATACAAACATCCATTTTCTTAATATCCATTCACAGAACAGTTAATGATTAATGATTTATTAAGAAGCTTGCTGAACTGATGATGGTAAGTAAGAAAAAGACACATTAAGAATATTTCAGGCTGGGTTCGGTGGCTCATGCCTGCAATCCCAGCACTCTGAGAGACCGAGGTGGGAGGATCCCTTGAGTCCAGGAGTTTGAGACCAGCCTGGCAACATAGTGAGACCCGATCGCTACAAAAAAATGAAACAATTAGTGAGGCATAGTGATGGGTTCTTGTCTCCAGAGACTTGGGAGGCTGAGGTGGGAGGACTGCTTGAACCCAGGAATTTGAAGCTGCAGTAAGCCATGACTGTGCCACTGCACTCCAGCCTGGGTGACACAGCAAGACCCTGTCTTAAAAAACAACTACAACAACAACAAGGACTATTTCCCTTAAAGACACACATTGATACGCCCACTTTTCTTTACAGCTTTAAATGCTTCCTTAATTTTATATAATTTTTTAAAGAATTAAAATTCTTTTTTTTTTTTTTTTTTACAGAGATGGGGTCTCACTATGTCGCCTGGGCTGGTCTTGAACTCCAGGGCTCAAGCAATCCTCCCACCTCAGCCTCCCAAAGTGCTGGGATTACAGATTTCAGGCGTCAGACATGGTGCCCAGCCAATTTAAAAAAAAAATTTATTCAGTTAAGTGTCACTGACTAGGGCACAATTCAGCAAATGTTCCCTCCAGTAAAGTATGATACTATAGCAATGCAGTAGATTTATTTGTACAACCTCAATTGAACTGCTGCCTCAGCTACTACTTGCTGCCATGTGGATTTTAATGCACCATAACTATAATGATGACAACTATTCATCTATCCCAACTCAATTTATACCCATAGTCTCATGTCACTGAAGGAGAAATACTACTTTATCTGGTAAAGGACAGAGTTATTATCAGAACTGAAATCCTGTTTTTAATTTAGGAGGTTTTGGTATAGCTGAGACTTCAAGTGAACTAGTTATCACTAAATACTTTTTCTCCGCCTACTCATATACATAGCTAATCAACACCATTCCAATGTTGTGCCAGTAAAAGTATGCCATTACTAAACTATTAGTTTTAACATATATAATACGTTTAAACACTAACCTATCAAAATAATAGCTTAAATACATTACAGGGAGAAAACTGACACATAAGTAAAAATGCTGTCAAAAGAATTAAGGGCCGGGCGCGGTGGCTCACGCCTGTAATCCCAGCACTTTGGGAGGCCGAGGCGGGTGGATCATGAGGTCAGGAGATCGAGACCATCCTGGCTAACAAGGTGAAACCCCGTCTCTACTGAAAATACAAAAAATTAGCCAGGCGCGGTGGCGGGCGCCTGTAGTCCCAGCTACTCGGGAGGCTGAGGCAGGAGAATGGCGTGAACCCAGGAAGCGGAGCTTGCAGTGAGCCGAGATTGCGCCATTGCAGTCCGCAGTCCGGCCTGGGCAACAGAGCGAGACTCCGTCTCAAAAAAAAAAAAAAAAAAAAAAAAAGAATTAAGATGATGACCTAAATATGTCTATTATTTCTTCTGCTGGTATCCTGTTATTCAAGACAGCTCTCTCTCTTTTTTCTACATGTTATTATTTAGTGACATTAGCTAACTCTTAACTCTCATATTAAAAAGTTAACTTTTTGTTTTGATTTCATTGCTATTATTTTCTTACATTTTGGTTATGTTTTGTTTTTAATATATTAAGGTATCAAGAACCTGTAGAGTATGTTTTTAAAAATATTTTGGGGGTAACAAGATCCTTTTATACTGTAAAAATAGATTTTAATAGAAATATTAATCAAAAAGTATAAAGAATAATATTATTTCTAGAAAATTTTGATTAAAAGGGAAAGAAAGACAAACAGGTCCCCCCCCTCAAACCACCTTTTTTAGTGGAAGAACTTCCACATCACTAAGACTCAGGATTTAAGGACTTCTAGATACTGAAACATTTGCTCCCTATCTCTGACATATTTAATCATATATATTCTCAAACATGAACATAATGAGATTCTAAAAACAGATCATGAACTAACTGAAATGAACACTGTAATTTTCAGGTGCAGAAAGCTTTCTAGAACTAATACAAAACAGATGACCTCTTATATTAACAGTATGATATTTCAACTACTTTTATTATGAAATCTGATAACCCAAGCAAAAGTACTTCAAAAGTTAAACAGTGACTAGTTAGGCTGAGACTAAATAAAAGGTAAACTAATTAACTGAAATGTTGCTTATGCAATTAAATTCAAAAACAAACTTTAAGTCTTACTACTGCTATACAACGTTCATTTCTGCCATCCACTGTCAGCAGTAATAATTAAAACAAGAGATTTATAAAAATTTACTGCATGACAAATTCAATTTCACAGAATTTGTTTTTAATTTCAACATACAAGTATACTTTTGAAAAATCGTGTTTCTGGGGACATAAATTGCATTTTTCTTTCACATTTTGAAACATTTCAACTGTTAAAAGAGTGATTTATATCAACAGCTGAAATACGTAATTCAGCTGTAGGAAACTAGCTGTATTCTTTGTCAAAAATGTCATTAGTCAAGTGATTAAGCAGCAAGGCAAGAAACTGCACAGGACAGCTGATTAATGCATACTGCCAGTACAATGCGGCACAAAGCAATGAAAGCCGTCAATAAGCCCAAGCAGTGAATTTTGTCAGTGTTTCCAATGTCTCTCATATCTTTTTGCAATTATAAGTATTAACAAACATGGTGGATTAGTGTCCCTGGATGCTAGAGCCCAACTTATATCAAATTAAAATATAAAGTAAGAGCAGTTGTCAAAGGTCTCATTCTCATTCATTACCATGATAGTGTGCCTCAAGAGCAGGTAACTAAAACTTTAAGGAAACAAAATATACGTTTAGAAACTGGCCATTTTAACGAAAAGTGATGAGCAGATCTTTAAAAAAATACAAACACAAGTAAAGTAAATTAAGAATTGATGTTACTCAACTTTCTTCCAATCAATACTACTTGAAACTTCCATAACATACATAACACTTGAGATGTGTCAAGCATTGTTTTAACCACCTTACATAAATTATACAAGCTTCAAATCTCCACTGTATAAAGAAACTGAGGTATACTAATGTTAAGTAATTTGTCCACGGATACACCAGATAATTCAAATTTAAGCAACTGGTTCCAGAGTCTATGCTCTCAATCATCATGCAAACTTGCAATTTCAATTAGAACAAATGAGCTGGTCTTCAATGAACATATACACAGGCAAAATAAGAATAATAACACAGAATAATAATATACATTACATTATATATAGTGATAATAACACATAATTCAGCCTGTGCAACAATTTAAACACAAAGGGATAAAAAAAAGAATAAGGTAGCCTCACCGGTTTTATAATTAGTAGAAGAGATTACAGACAATATATGCAAATGTCAAATGATAGGACAAAATATTGATAGAGGAATTCAGGAGGCAATGATTATTGGGGCTCATTCGAAGAAAAGAATGAACCGTGAATATTTTCAGCCATCAAATGTCCAGAGTGCCAGTTATCTGCTGGATACTAACATAGCTGCTGAAAAAACCAAGATGTTAAAAAAAACACATTACAGTTATGTGCTATTTAAGGACATCTTATGTTCCCACAAATTATAATGAAGCTGAACAATTCCTAACTTAATGACTTGCAGTGCAACAACACGATTCTCAGGTTTGTGGAGAAGATGGTGTGAACAAACCTACCATGCTGCCAGTTGTATAAAAGTACAGCACACACAATTAATGTACAGTACATATACTTGAAAATAAACAACTGTTAATGGTTTGTGTATTTACTATACTATACATTTATCATTACTTTAGTGTATATCTTCTACTTATTTTAAAAAAAAACAAACAAACTGTAAAGCAGCCGCAGGCAGGTCCTTCAGGAGGTATTCCAGAAGATCTTATCATAGGAGATGACAGCTCCATGTGTGTTACTGGCACTGAAGACCTTCCAGTGAGACAAGATGTGGAAGAGATCACAGTGATTCTGTTGACCGTGACCGTATGTAGGCCTAGGCTAATACATGTGTTTGTGTCTCAGATTTTAACAAACAAATAAAAAAAATTAAAATTAAATTTTAAATAGAAAAGGGTATGAAGAAAGGATATATTTTTGTATAGTTGTTCAATGTGTGTTTTTAGCCAAGGGTTATTGCAAAAAAATCACAAAGTCAAAAAAAAATTTTTAAGTTATAAAATAAAAAGGTTACAGTAAGCTAAGGTTAATTATTGAAGAAAAAAATTTAGATAAATTTAGCTAGCCAAAGTGTGCAATGTTTATAAAGTCTACAGTAATATACAGTAATATCCTAGGCCTTTACATTCATTCACCACTCACTCACTGACTCACCCAGAGTAACTTCCAGTCCATTAATGGTAAGTGCCCTATACACGTGTACCAGTTTCTATCTGGTATATCCTACATTTAGATACACAAATACCATTGTGTTAAAGCTACCTACAGCATTCAGTACAGTAACACGCTATGTAGGTTTGCAGTCTAGGAGCAAGAGGCTATACTATATCACCTACATGTCTAAGTACACTCCATGATGTTTGCACAACAAAAATTGCCTAATGACACATTTTTCAGAATGTATTTCCATCGTTAAGCAATGCAGGACTGTATTTGAGAAATTCACAGAAGTATATATTGGGCCTGGGCTACTGAAACAGCCTCCTTATCAAGACTCCTACTCCTGAAATTTCCCTCTTCCAATCGATTTTAAAGACTGAATTAGGATAAATTTCCAAACACACAGCTCTATTCATATAATTCTCCCCATTTACTACTATGTAAAATTCAGACTCCAACTATTACTGAAGATCCTTCAAAATGTGGCTTGAGTGTTTTCTTAGAACATATTTCATTAAAAAAATTTATGTAGGCAATGGTTCAAAAAGTATACAGAAAAAAAGCAAGCCTCCCTCCCACTCTTGCCAAATAAGTACCCAATTGCCCTCTCTGTAGGCAACCAATAATTTCAACTTGTGCATCTTACTAGTTTCCTATGCATAAACACGCATACACGTATTTGGTTTTTTTCAATTAAACATATGAGATGACATCATATATACTGATTTGCACTTGCTTTTCTCCCCCTCATGCCATAGTATTTTGACCATCATTTCATATCAGCACATATGAGAGCAACCTCATTTTTGTCTCCAATGGTTGCACAGATTTACATTGCCTGGATGTATCAAATTATTTAACCAGGAACATTTCACTTCTAGTCTTTCACTGTTAAACAATGCTGGGGAAAAAAAAAACCCCTTCTATATGTGTCAATTGACACATAAGCAAGAGTACTCTTAAATACACCTAGAATATGAAGTGCTAGGTCAAAAAATATGTGCACTTTTCTATTAAGTAAAAGCTAAATCTCTCTCCACCCAGATAAGCCATTAATAATTGCAATTTCTTCCCTAAATGCTCCCCTTGCTTTCTCATTCTAAGTGAAACCCAGCTCTCCCCTGAATATACTGCTTCCTCAAAGTCTTCCCACATTCCATGTTCAAATAGGCCTGGAAGTAAATTCAGTGTGCTTACTATACATAGCTTCTTCGTCATTTTTCTCTCTTCTCCCTGAAACCTCCCAGCTCAAAATCTCCTGTAACATATACCACCCAATATGTGTCCTTGATGCTCCTCTACCAACCCACGAGTTCTTGGAAATTCTAACTTTCAGCTCACTGTCATTTTCTTAAAAATTATTCCTTGCCTAATTGTTAATTATTTTAATAACTATATATAGATGATTAATATCCTGGTCTATCAGTTTTCTTGACTTCCTCTTCTCCAAAGATCTTTTATTCTGCCCACTTCCACTTCACACAACCATGACCACACCCTAAACACTTTTTCATTACCAATAACTTCACTCCCTCCTTCACCTTATGACATAACACTTTCTGACAACTACTTCCATTCTTTCCAGTTGATTCCTTGTCTCCAACAATCCTTCAAGGCCATTGTGATCTAAAAATCTATGGAACCTACACCCACTGCTCCTCACTCTGTTATGTATTTACTTTCTTCTTTCCCAACATAAATTACATGGCCAGTAAATATAACTCCCTCACACAACTTTGCACTCTGTTACCATTTTCATTCTCTTATTTTTTGTACTTTACCTCCCTGGCAAAACTAACCCTAGTTAAATTTCTCTACTCACTCTACATTTGAACTGGCAGACTTGAATATGGTTAGAGAAAAAACATGCAACCATGTTCTCTGGTCTCATTTTAAATTCATGATCACTATCCTTAAGGTATAGTGATCCTTAAGGAGGCACTTAACACTAACTTCACAGGAAACTACCCTCATCCACTCACTCTTGAAAGAAGTTAAATAATTTCTCTTACTCTTCACAAATTTCCCATACCTTCATAATCACTCTCAGCAAATTATTCTTTTTTTTTTTTTTTTGAGATGGTGCCTCACTCTGTCACCCAGGCTGGGGTGCAGTGGGCATGATCTCGGCTCACTGCAACCTCCGCCTCCCAGGTTCAAACTGATTCTCCTGCCTCAGCCTCCCAAGTAGCTGGGATTACAGGCGTGCACCACCATGCCCAGCTAATTTTTGTATTTTTAGTAGAGACAGGGTTTCACCATGTTGGCCAGACTGGTTTCAAACTCCTGACCTCAGGTGATCTGTCCGTCTCAGCCTCCCAAAGTGCTGGGATTACAGGAATGACCCACTGCACCCGGCCAAATTACTCTGTTTTTAAGTTTACTGAAAAATATAAAAAGAACAAGGAGATATACTTTCCAAAGGCTCCCACTAACCACATCCTCCACTTATCAGTATTTATACCAACATATTTTGATATATTCTGTGGTCTTTCTTGTCATTCCGAACGATGTGCTCCTAGATGTAACCAACATTTATACTTGTGCGGTAAGTCCCATCCTTGCTTACCTACTCAAGGATTGTTTCCTAAATTTCCCTCCTCTCTCCTGTATCAATCAATTTTTCCATCTATCCTGGATCTTTTCCATAAGGCTTCCATGTTTTTCTTCCTTTTCAAGTAAAAAACAAAACAAAATACCTCTTATATTCCTATATCTATTTTAGCTACTATCCTATTGCTTTCCTAATACCATAACTTTACAAAAAAAAGTTTTCCATAACCTCTCCTCTCGTTCTCTTTAACTCACTGGAATCAAGCTTTTACCTCCACCTCTGAAAATGCTGTATGAAGGTCAATAATGACCTCTAAGTTGCTAAACAGAGCAGTCAACTCCGAATTCTGACCTTCCTTAAATATCAACAATAGCTGACATTGATGATCACTCTCTCTTCCACAATAGAGTGATTTTTCTCCTACCTTACTGACAACTCCATCACAGTCTACTTTGGTCATTCCTCCTCATCTTCACTTTGATAATAAAGCATCCCAGGCTGGGTGCAGTGGCTCAAGCCTGTAATCCCATCACTTCGGGAGGCCGAGACAGGTGGATAACCTGAGGTCAGGACTTTGAGACCAGCCTGGCCAACACGATGAAATCCAGCCTCTACCAAAAATACAAAAAATTAGCTGTGCATGGTGGCAGGCACCTGTAATCCCAGCTACTCAGGAGGCTGAGGCAGGAGAATCGCTTAAACCCGGGAAGAGGAGGTTGCAGTAAGCCGAGATCGCACCACTGAACTCCAGCCTGGGCAACAAAAGTGAAACTCCATCTCAAAAAATAAACAAAACAAAACAAAAGCATCTCAGAGCTAAGCTAAGCTCTTGTACCTCACCATCTTTTTATCTTCCTGGATTTCTTTGGTGATCTCATATAGTCTCATGACTTTCAATCTATATAGTACACTGATGACTATCAAGTGTTTGTCTCCCAAACCAGACCTCTCTCTACACTACTGCCTCATGTCTAGTTGACAGCTCCAATTTTAACCTGATAGGCATAGTTAACCCGTCCAAAATTGAGTTTCTGAATCCCCTGCCAAACATCTAGTAATTTCTTCCAGGTTTACCTGATTAGGTTGACTAACAATTTTCATCTTTTGTTTTTAAAAGCTCATGAATTGATTTAGTAATTGTTTTTTCATAATGTATTCTTATTTTTATATTTATTTAATTTCCTTCTATTTTATTTAGGTTTACTTTGTTCTTTCTCTAATTTCTTTGCTTGGTTGTTTAATTAAATTGTTTTATATCATCTTATTTATCATTACTTTTTCAGTTAATTCCTTTTTGAGTAGGTTAATTCCTTTAGAGTAAGGAGTTTTATTCTGGGCACTTTTAGCTATGTCCCATAAGTTCTGATACACAGAAATTTCATCATACTGGTTTGATTTCCATTTTGATCCCAGCGTTGCCAAAAAAGCTATTAAATTTCCGTGTGGTATATTTTTCCTGTTTTCTAAGTTTGTAATAAATGTTTGATCTTACTGTGTTGTGATCAGAAAATGTTAATTTTTATTTTCTGTAATTTGAGATTTGGTATATGATCTAGATTCTTTACATTTTCTGATGTTCCATGGACAATTTAAAAGAAGGTATATTCTTTATAAATGTTTGTATATGTGTTCTAGTTTGTTAATTATGTTATTTAGGGCTTCTACAGTTTTATTAACATTTATTTTTTGTGCACTTAATCTGTCATGGACTAAGATCTGATTTAATTTAAAGTCTCATACCACTAAATGTGTTTATTTTGTCTTACAGTTAACACAGGGATTTTTTAATATATAAAGATACTTACAATTAGACTTAAACTTCAGTGCAGACTGAACTTTGATCATTATAATGGGGCGTGTGTGTGTGTGTGTAAGACAAAGAGAGATTGATCTAATGCTTTCTAGCCTGAATTAAACCTTACTTTCAACTTTCACAGTTTGAAGTTTTCAGAACTCGTCTATACAAGCACTGATTTGTGGTTTATGTTATAATCTACTATAAAAATATTTTCTTATTGCCAGGAAGTTTAGCCTATTTAAATTTATCAATCACGTTTACTTTTGTATCTGTCATCTTATTTTGTGATATATATTGTTTCAATCACATTTTTAATTAAAGTATTTGACCATCTGATTTCTTTCTTTTGTTTTCTGTGTTATTCTCCTAAATGGGAATTGTAGTATTTCTGTCTAGTGACTACAAACACTTTATTAATTACTACAGAAAGAAATAAAGGATTCAATGTATCTACTAAGTTTCTACTCTGAGCAAAGGATAAAGTTATTTTTGCCCTTACTCTTCCAATCCTACTCATCATATTCACTGTCTCACAATCTACGTTATACCTCCAAAAATATTTATACTTCTCATCCTTATGCAAATGAAAATCCTATAATTAACTGAGCATAGAAATGAAATCCATTTTACATAGAAAGACAAACTACCCCTGCGTTTCCAATATTTGCTGAACATTCCAAACTTACTAATTATAAGTAGGTGTAAGAATCTTATTATCCATTATATTGTCTAATGCAGGTATACCTGCTATGTAGCTCCGAAATGATTCTAAACATTTATATAGTTTGCTACATGAGTGATATGCTTTGCTATAATAAGAACTTAAGAGTGTATTCCCTCCCCACTTCAAGAATGTGACCTCTCCCTCTCCCTCTCCCTCTCCCCACGGATTCCCTCTCCCTCTCTTTCCACGATCTCCCTCTGATGCCGAGCGGAAGCTGAACTGTACTGCTGCCATCTCGGCTCACTGCAACCCCCCTGCCTGATTCTCCTGCCTCAGCCTGCCGAGTGCCTGCGATTGCAGGCGCGCGCCGCCACGCCTGATTGGTTTTCGTATTTTTTTGGTGGAGACGGGGTTTCGCTGTGTTGGCCGGGCTGGTCTCCAGCTCCTAACCGCGAGTGATCCGCCAGCCTCGGCCTCCCGAGGTGCCGGGATTGCAGACGGAGTCTCGTTCACTCAGTGCTCAATGGTGCCCAGGCTGGAGTGCAGTGGCGTGATCTCGGCTCGCTACAACCTCCACCTCCCAGCAGCCTGCCTTGGCCTCCCAAAGTGCCGAGATTGCAGCCTCTGCCCGGCTGCCACCCCATCTGGGAAGTGAGGAGCGTCTCTGCCTGGCCGCCCATCGTCTGGGATGTGAGGAGCCCCTCTGCCTGGCTGCCCAGTCTGGGAAGTAAGGAGCGCCTCTTCCCCGCCGCCATCCCATCTAGGAAGTGAGGAGCGTCTCTGCCCGGCCGCCCATCCTCTGAGATGTGGGGAGCACCTCTGCCCCGCCGCCCCTTCTGGGATATGAGGAGCGTCTCTGCCTGGCCGCCCCGTCTGAGAGGTGAGGAGCCCCTCCGCCCGGCAGCCGCCCCGTCTGAGAAGTGAGGAGGCCCTCCGCCCGGCAGCCGCCCCGGCCGGGAGGGAGGTGGGGAGGTCAGCCCCCGCCCGGCCAGCCACCCCGTCGGGAGGGAGGTGGGGTGGGGGGGGGGTCAGCCCCCGCCCGGCCAGCCGCCCCGCCCGGTAGGGAGGGGGGGGGTCAGCCCCTGCCCAGCCGCCCCTTCTGGGAAGTGAGGAGCCCCTCTGCCCGGCCACCACCCCGTCTGGGAGGTGTACCCAACAGCTCATTGAGAACGGGCCATGATGACAATGGCGGTTTTGTGGAATAGAAAAGGGGGAAAGGTGGGGAAAAGATTGAGAAATCGGATGGTTGCTGTGTCTGTGTAGAAAGAAGTAGACATGGGAGACTTTTCATTTTGCTCTGTACTAAGAAAAATTCTTATCCTGTTGATCTGTGACCTTACCCCCAACCCTGTGCTCTCTGAAACATGTGCTGTGTCCACTCAGGGTTAAATGGATTAAGGGCGGTGCAAGATGTGCTTTGTTAAACAGATGATTGAAGGCAGCATGCTCATTAAGAGTCATCACCACTCCCTAATCTCAAGTACCCAGGGACAAAAACACTGCGGAAGGCCGCAGGGTCCTCTGCCTAGGAAAACCAGAGACCTTTGTTCACTTGTTTATCTGCTGACCTTCCCTCCACTATTGTCCTATGACCCTGCCAAATCCCCCTCTGCGAGAAACACCCAAGAATGATCAATAAAAAAAAAAAAAAAAAAGAATGTGACCTCTTATCAGATCCCATATATGAACCTGAAACTTCTCCTCCCCTCTGGAATGTGGTAACACGCCTCCTCAGATCCCATATGTGAGTTACTGACTTCAACTACTGGACTTCAAACATATATAAACCTAAGAGCTTGACAACACTTTGAGAGCTTAGGCTGTGTCAAGTTTCACTCTGTCAGCCACTTCTCAGAAGACTGAATGCTCAGACTGTGACATGGATTGGAGCTTTGAAGCCTTGCTTTGTAACACCAGCACTGCCCTCTAACTTCAAGGGACCTTACAGGTGGTTGCAGATCTCAGCTGTGCTCACACAAAAGCACACTTTAATGTTTAATTAAACTTTACTTTCCACAGAGCCCTGCTTCCATCCTAATTGAGCAACCAGACTTTAATAATTTTGGAGCTCACTCACTATGTGGTTAATGTAATTCATCTATCAAGTGTATTCTGTATGAAACTTGTTCACATTATTCTCTCCCTCTTAAGCATTGTGAACCTAAGAAAAAAATTATCTTTGTATGGCAATAAAACAAGTGAGTCATTAAATTATTATTTGACCATCTCCTTATTTTAACCATACAGAATAGGTAAGTATTTACAAATTAAAATCATCTTATTTTCCTTTTATTTCTCCTTTATATTAGAATTAAGACACTATAATTTTTTAAAAATTTGTAGTTAGGGAGTTTGCAAAATCTTTTTTCTTTCTTTTTTTTTTGAGACAGAGTCTCACTCTGTTGCCCAGGCTGGACTGTGATGGTGTGATCTCAGCTCACTGCAACCTCTGCCTCCTGGGTTCAAGTGATTCTCCTGCCTCAGCCTCCTGAGTAGCTGAGATTATAGGTGCACACCACCACACCTGGCTTATTTTTGTATTTTTAGTAGAGACGGGGTTTCACCATGTTAGTCAGGCCGGTCTCGAACTCCTGACCTCGTGATCCACCTGCCTCAGCCTCCCAAAGTGCTAGGATTACAGGTGTGAGCCATTGATATCTATTAATTTTATGTCAGAACAGCGTCAGTGGTTCCAACAAAACTTCATTTATGAACACTAGAATCTGAATTTTCACATGTCACAAAGTATTATCCTTTGTATTTTTTTTCAACCTTTGCAAATGTAAAAAATATTCTTAGTTGTTACAAAGTCAAGCAATGAGTTGAAATTTGACTCGCAGGTATTAGTTTGCTGACCTTAAACTGTTTTTTTAATAGCAACCTGCTAGATAATTGCTGACCTTATTCTGAATTAATGGACAGACTTTATTCCATAGGCACTAAATTGAAGCCACATTTTAAAGTCTATGCATATTTTTATTCTATTATTTTTATTAGGTGGCTCATTTTGTTTGAATTCCATAAAACCTCAAGATCTTGCTTTAAAACAACTACTTTAAAAAAATTTACTTTCTTATTCCCTCTGGCTATCATTGAATAGCTAAAACAAATAAATACACTACCTGATAGACTATATTCTGAAAAACTTTTGTGAATATCAAGTGTTTATTTTGTGATAAAATGTCTTTCTCCTTAAAGCACTTAAAGATGCCCTTTAAAATCAATATACTTAATATCAACTTTTGTTCATTCAGAACAACATCTAGTAGAGAAAATAACAAGAGCTGAAAAAGAAAATATATTTTTGTCCCCAAAGTTACTACGACATTTTGTCCTCTTTAAAATGTTTTTAGTAAACACTTTGAAATGTGTGTTTAGTAAAAGTACAACAGAGACTCAACAGAGAATCATATGAAGCTAAAATTTCAATTCTTAACTTTTGAAACTGCAAAATAAAATACATCTAATTTCTCAGTTCTGTGTTCTCTGGTAGTATTTACAAAGCAACCAATAGGATCACAATATTAAATCAGTAATGTCACTGCTGTGATGTTTCATCAGGAAACCTTAAAACTATGATATAAAGAAACCATTTAATCCTACCAAGGACTAACGTGGAGCAAAAATTTACAGTTTAGAAGAATATTTCATCATGTATATTTAAAAATGTGTCCCCAAAATATCAGTTAACACAGCAGACTTAAAAAATCAGAAACCCATTTTGTGTTTCTTATAAAAATAAGTAGTAAAAAACACTGAAGAAAAATATTTTAAAAAATGTGAGTTTTACCAGATAAATCCCTTCAAACCATTGCAGCAAGAAAAAAAAGAAGAGCTCCTGTTCTAAAATGTACATGGAAATGTAAGGGACTTATACTAGCCAGTATAACTTTTGAAAAGAGTAACAAAGACGGAGAACTTATATTACCTAATTTCAAGCCTTGTTATAAAACTACAGTAATCATGACAGTATGGTACTGGCCTAAGAGGAGACATACAGATCAATACAACAGAACAGACAGTTAAGTAGACTCACATATATACAGTCAATTCATTTTAAACAAAGAGACATACAGATCAATACAACAGAACAGACAGTTAAGTAGACTCACATATATACAGTCAATTCATTTTAAACAAAGATGCCAACAGGAAAAGGTTATCTTTTGATCAAATGATGCTAGGAACAAGTGGGTATCTCTATACTGGCAGGAAAAAACTGAACCTCGGCTAGGCATGGTGGCTCACGCCTGTAATCCCAGCACTTGGGAGGCCGAGGTGGGCAGATCACCTGAGGTCAGGAGTTCGAGATCAGCCTGACCAACATGGAAACACCTTATCTCTACTAAAAATACAAAATTCACTAGGCATGGTGGCGTGCGCCTGTAATCCCAGCTACTCAGGTGGCTGAGGCAGGAGAATCACTTGAACCCCGGAGGCAGAGGTTGCAGTCAGCCGTGATCACGCCATTGAACTCCAGCCTGGGCAGCAAGAGTGAAACTCCGTCTCAAAATAAAAAAAAGAAAAAGAAAAAGAAAAAATGAAACTAAACCATTACCTCACAATCTAAATAAAAAATAACTTGAAATAGATTATAAGCCTGTAAGTAAAAGCTAAAGTTATTACAATGATAGAAGAAAATATAGAAGAAAAATCTTCGGGGCAGAAACATTTCTACAGGATAGAAAAATTTTAAAAATGGATGAACTGGAATTCATCAAAATTAAGTATCACTCATGTTCCTTGAAAGACACTATTAAGAAAATACAAAGATGAGCCACAGGCAAGGAAGAAAATTCTGATAACACATGTATCTGACAAAGAACTTATATCCATAATATAAAAGGAATTCTCATCACTAAACAAGAGAAAGACCTGATTATTATTATTATTGTTTTTGGAGACGGCATCTCACTCTATCGCCCAGGCTGGAGTGCAGTGGTGCAATCTGGGCTCACTGCAATCTCTGCCTTTCCAGGTTCACGTCATTCTCCTGCCTCAGCCTCCCGAGTAGCTGGGACTACAGGCGCCCGCCAGCACGCCTGGATAATTTTTTTTGTGTTTTTAGTAGAGATGGGGTTTCACCATGTTAGCCAGGATGGTCTCGATCTCCTGACCTTGTGATCTGCCCGCCTCAGTCTCCCAATGTGCTGGGATTACAGGCATGAGCCACTGAGCCCGGCCAAGAAAGACCTGAATTTTTAAATACTGGCCAAAAGATTTGAATAGACAATTCACAAAAGATATACAAATAGTTAATAAGTGCATTAAACACCACTAGTGATAAGGGAAAAGCATAGAAAAACAATGAGAAAATGCCATTACATACCCATTAATAAAATGCCTGATATTTAAAAAAAATAACAATGCTAAGAATTGCTGAGGATTTAGAACTGGAATTTTTTAAACTGCTGATTAAAGTGGTAAAACAATCCAACCACTTTAAAAATCATTTTGGCAGCTTCTTAAAATGTTAAACACATCCTAACCATACAGCACAGCAATTCCAATTTCAGGTATTCACCCAAAGAAATAAATATAAACATTAATATCCAAAATGACTTGTATATGAATACTCATTACTTTATTCATAATAGTAACAAACTAAAACCCAGACAAGTTTATTCAAATAAATAAACTGTACAATTATTCAAATGAATAAACTGTAGAATATTTAGACAATAAAATACTACTCAATAAGTAAATAAATTACTAATATGGGCAGCAACATCAATGAATCTCAAAAACAAGCTGGGCGAAATAAGCTAGACACAAAAGAACATATACTGTATGGTTCCACTTATAAGAAATTTTTAAATGGTTGAATTATTGTATAGTGACAGAAAGCAGATAAATAGTTGCCTGTGGCAGGAGTTTGAAGGAGGGGTGGAATTAACTGCAAGTGGTGGAAGAGAAAATTTTTGAAAATGTTTTTTTTTTTTTTTTTTTTTTTGAGACGGAGTCTCGCTCTGTCGCCCAGGCCGGACTGCGGACTGCAGTGGCGCAATCTCGGCTCACTGCAAGCTCCGCTTCCTGGGTTCACGCCATTCTCCTGCCTCAGCCTCCCGAGTAGCTGGGACTACAGGCGCCCGCCACCGCGCCTGGCTAATTTTTTTGTATTTTTAGTAGAGACGGGGTTTCACCTTGTTAGCCAGGATGGTCTCGATCTCCTGACCTCATGATCCACCCGCCTCGGCCTCCCAAAGTGCTGGGATTACAGGCATGAGCCACCGCGCCTGGCCCGAAAATGTTTTATGTTTTGACTGTCATTAACACAACTATCAAAATTCAAACTTTATGCTTTATTGTATATAAATTATACTTCAGTAAAGGTGATTTTAAAAACTATCCAACTTGTGATTTTATATTTCTTAAATTATGTAAAACATCCTGCAAATTAATCTCTCTCAAGCACAGATCAAAGCATCAAGTTTTATAACTCCACAAGTTATCCACAAAATCACCTATTGATGTGGATGGGGAGAAGAGAAGAAGAGGAGAGAATGTGAACACAACCAAACATCATTAGTGGTAGAAAAACAGCCCTGTTTCAATGTTAGTATGATATAGCTAAGTTGCCTAAACATAGGTTAGCTTTTGTCTTATTTCAGGGCATTTTTGGGGGGCTCTGTTTGATAAATAATTGTAAAAATACACAAATAGGAAACTTTCTGCTATACATACCAGAACTTGTTATTATGTAAATAAAACCTGTAGCTCTCGTTAAACCAATGATGGATTGTCTACTATATGACAGGCCAAGTGACAGGTTATTACTGTTAAGTAAGTAATGATAAAACATAAAATAGCCACTCATCACAAATAGATCAGAAAATCCGACAAAAGCCACTTTCTTTCACAGACACACTTTGATGTCTGAAAATATGACAGAAGTTTAATCAAGTGTAGCAGTACATCCTTAGAGCCTAAACAAATCTTTTTTAACCAATTAAAAGTATAAAAACCATCTGTACCTGACGGATCTTTCAAAACTAGGTAATGGGTCAAATTTGGCCCATGGTCCATAGTTTGCTGATTTTAAAAAAGCTCTTACTTTTCTCAATCAAAATGACCTTCCTTGCATAAAAACAAACCCAATGTAAAGTTTGAAAACTTACAATTCCAAAAAACTGAAAAATTGCCAAAAAATTTGTCATATTTCATTTACATAAATAAGGATATATATTTTTAATATTATTTTTAAAGGCTAATGGACACACTAGCATTTCCAGGACATATGTATATACTGCTCTAAGACAATATATGCTCAAAAATATTAGTTCAGTAAATTCTGGAACCAACTTTTGAATCCCTGAGTATAATTTGTCAAATGTAATACATTCTTTACTACCTTCATATGAATACACTGAACACAGTAATGTGAATAGCCCTATCAACATTAGTTACCACACTCTAATACACCTCAATGATCTCAGGGTGTATTAAAATATCTAAAACCATTTGACCTCATATGAAATTAATATAAGCAGCTTTACTTTTTGAGCTCCATCCGCAGTGTTACGGTTTCTTTCCCCGTTTTCTTTCTTTTTTTTTGAGATGGTGTCTTGCTCTGTCGCCCAGGCTGGGGTTCACTGGTGTGATCATGGCTCACTGCAGCCTCGACCTCCCAGACTCAATCGATGCCCCTGCCTCAGCCTCCTGGGCCCAGCCAATTTTTGCATTTTTTGTAGAGATGGAGTTTCACCATGTTGCCCAGACTGGTCTCGAGCTCCTGGGCTCAAGCAATCTGCCTGCCTCAGCCTCCTAAAGCTTAGGATTTTAAGCGTGAGCCACCATGCCTGGCCTCCTTCCCTTTTTCAAGCTTGTAGTAGCTACCACTTCTTGCTGTTGCCGTTTAACCTACCTATTGCAATTACTCTCCCCTTTATAATTTAGAGAGACACAAACCATATAACTAAGATTATAGAAGTTGTACGTAAGTCAATAGCCCTGAAATAACCCAATAAACTAATATGAGTTTTAGTCATTAATTTAATGGCATTCATTTTATTCCAGTGCCTTTTTATTTTATGTAAGCCTTACTTACTGTGTTTCAGTCAGATGAGACTGCCAGAGGTTAAAATCTGTTTAGGTCAAGTGTTAGTATGTTATGGAACTCTTTACTGTGAACAGTAGATAGAGAAATTAACTCAGACAAAGGGGAAAAAAACTGAAATAGTATATGCAGACAAATGCTCTTACAGTAATGTCCTATCTTACTAAGAAGTTTTAAATGTCTAAAAATGTCTGATGGAAGCAATATATGGGGAAGTTATCATACCTAGGACAAACGGTGAATTGAAGCTCTCTTTGTCAAATATTTATGTTATAAAACACTTGTCACCAGATTAAGTTTTACATATAATGACATCAGTTATTTGTAAGTTGCAGTTGTAAGGGATCAAAACTTGCCACCCCAAAATATGTCACTCTGCCATAAAAATTCTTTTGAGCTGAGGACAATGGAAAAAGAGTAAACATAGGATGAGCTTTCTGTCCTCCCCTATTTGCCTGAAAGCAGAACATAAACTCCTTTTGGGAAAGTGTTTCCCCCACTCCACTTCCTGTACCAGGAAGGGGATAATGATTTTTTTTTTTTTTTTTTTTTCAGACGGAGTCTTGCTCCGTTGCCTAGGTTGGAGTGCAGTGGCGCAATCTTGGCTCACTGCAACCTCCACCCCCTGGGTTCAAGCAATTCTCCTGCCTGAGCCTCCTGAGTAGCTGGGATTACAGGTGCGCACCACCATGCTTGGCTAATTTTTGTATTTTTAGTAGAGATGAGGTTTCATCATGCTGGCCAGGCCGATCTCAAAACTCCTGACCTGGTGACCTCAAACTCCTGACCTCAAACACCTGCCTCGGCCTCCCAAAGTTCTGGGATTACAGGCATGAGCCACCGCACCTGGCCGGGGGATAATGATTTTATCACAAGATGAGATGGCACCAAAAAAGAATCTACATAAGTCTTTCAAGACTAAGAAGCCCATATCTACCATCAGTTTCCCCATATATGTGTTGACCCTAGAAGCTCAAAGTCCCTTTCCTTTCTCTTGTTACTTCTCTTTATTGCCCTTTGTTCAAATGATATAAAAGCCTCTAAGCCTAGCCATTTCTTTGGGGTTCTCCCTTCTTTTATGAACCTCCCTCACCTCTTCAGCCCCCATGCCCCATGTCATGTAAAACTTTCAACATCAAATAAGTGTTTGTGCCTTTTCTCCTGTCAATTTGTTGTCAACTTATTCCACAGGCCCAGCCACTGAACCTGAGAGGGTACAGAAAAGCTTTTCCTCTCCTAAATAGTAAAGTGAACTCCTACTAAACTCCTTCCAGTGATAAAATGGGCAAAGACTTTGCCCATTTTATCCTAATTGTAAAAAGCGTAAAAAAGAATAAATGAGGAGATCAAATTTTTTAAAGTCCAAAACTTCCCTCTCAATCCTACAAAATGTTTGTGTTATTTACTGGCAGCCCAGTGGCTGCTGACTTTTACGTCAAGGTGAGATGGTTCTCCAGCAGAGTAAGAGTATGTTTCCTTTTAAAGACCAGCTCTGCAGGTCAATCACCAAGATGAAATATCAGTTATTTTAAACATTAATGAATTCAATCTCAAATTTCACTATGAAATTCCTTCACCAAAAAATGATAACTAGAACAGCTTTTTTTGAGAAAAACAAAGATATTTCCTTTGTTCTGGTCTCTAAACTAGAGTTTCTCTATTAATGTTCAGCACTAAGACAAGTAAGTTACATGTGATTGATCCCCTCCGCCCTTGGAACAGTTGGTTACCAGCTGTTTTCCAGACCTAGCCCCTATCCAACTTTCCCAGGGACAGATGGAATAAGTATCCTGGTACACATGCAACCCACTCATATGACAACTTATTGGGCAAGAAGCTCTAGAAACTAAATGGTTTTTAACTCTATTTTCATTGATTCACAAAGTATAAATATAAGAAATTATAAAAAGTATGATATTATAATGGTAGATATATGCCATATATTAGTCCAAACCCATAGAATATACAATACTAAGAGTGACCCCCTCATGTAGACTTTGGGTGATAATAATGTGTCAATGTAGGTACAAATTGTAACAAACTGATATGGGAGAGGGGCAGTGAAGTGCTGGGAGGAGAAGGTCTGGGTCCCTGGTGAGGACTCCAACCCCAGGCCTGTGCCCACGGACTAAGGTGAGGACAAGCATTTCTGTTTTTGTGCTCAAATGTTGCATTTTCCAAGACCACTCTGGCCCACCGCGCCCCCATCCTGCACCTATAAAAACTCCGACACCCTAGTGGGCAGAGACACAGCAACTGGATGTGCAGAGGAACACATCGGTACAAGAGCACACTGACAGGCACCAGCAGACACCGGCAGGCCATCAACCAGCAGGAGGATGCAGAATTTGGCTGGGACGGTTGGAAGAGAGCCTGGCCACTGAGCGGCCCGACTCCAGGGGAAACCCACTTTCCCACTCTATCCTCCTTCTGGCCTCTCCATCAACCTCCCTAACAGCTACCACCACTCAATACAAAAGCTTGCACTCATTCTCCAAGCCCATGTGAGATCCAATTTTTCTGGTACACCAAGACAAGAACCCCAGGATACAGAAAGCTCTCTGACCTTGTGATAAGGCAGAGGGTCTGAGTTGACTAACACAAGCCACCTACAGATGGCAAAACCAAAACAGCATTCTATAACACATGCCCACTGGGGCTTCAGGAGCTGTAAACGTTTACCCCCAGACACTGCTGTGGGGTCAGAGCCCACGCTCCCACGATCTGCCTGTCTGTCCCCTCCCCATAGGGTCACAACTCCTCTGAGCAGCAGGGCACCAAAGAAACAAGCCACACCCCCATCGCACACCCTGCAAGGGGGACAAGGGAACTTTTCCCATTTCAAAATGTACCACTCTGGTGGGGAATGTTGGTAATGGGTGATGCTATGCATGTGCGGGTACAGGAGGTATATGGGAAATCTCTGTACTGTGAACCTAAAACTGCTCCATAAAATAAAGTCTATCAAAAAGTAATTATGATCTTTCCCTAAAGAATTAAAAATATAAATATTTCTTATTAGAAATGTCTTCCTTCCTTCCCCTTCCTTCTTCCTTCTCTCCCTGCCTGCTTTCTTCCTTTCTTCCCTCCCTCCTTTCTTTTTAAAGCTCTTAACCTAAGACAATGGTTCTCAAAGTGTGGTTGCAGACCAGCAGCATCACTATAAACCTGGAAATTGCTAGAAATGCAAATTCTTACACATAGCACAGACTACAGGATTAGAAACTCTGAGAGTGGAGCCCATCAATCTGTGTTTCAACAAGATCTCCAGATGATTATGAGGCACTGTCCTAAAAACAGGTTAGTAAGTCTGAAAGGGTAAGAACGACTAACATTTACGTAGTATTTACAACATGCCATATAAAACACAGAAAAATTTCAAAGGTCTCATTTCATCTTATTTAAATATGATTAATTGAGCCTATTTCCAGTTAAGCTAGATAACTAAGAGATAAAAGCACATTTTTTTCCAAACCACATGAAACCTTGAATGAATGAACTTTATTCATTCAAACCAATCCTTCTAACTCCTGTTTTAAATTACTAGTTGCACTCTAAAGATTTACAAAGGACTTCTCTAGAAGTAGTCTATATAATTGAATATATGTGAATAATTACATTCTCTTATTTTTCTTCCACGTTTTATCCAGAGGAAATGCAAAATGCCTTCCCTTTAAACTTGCTAAGTACAACAACAGCCCAGCCTTTAACAAGTACTACCTCCACCACAAACTTCTGCAAGGAATTACAAAACTGTAATCCCCATACTTTGGGAGGCCAAGGCAGGTGGATCAATGGGGGCTGGAAGTTTGAGACTGGCCTCGGCAACATGGTGAGATCCTGTCTCCACAAAAAAATACAAAAATTAGCCAGGCGTGGTGGCACGTGCTTGTAGTCCTAGCCACAGGGGCTGAGGTGGGAGGATCACTTGAGCCTAGGAGGTCAAGGCTGTAGTAAATCAGGATTGCACGACTGCACTCCAGCCTGAGCAACAGGGTGAGACCTCATCTCAAGAGAAAAAAAAAAGAAAAGAAGAAAAGAAATTATATGTAATACAGTAATACGTGGTTTTGGACATAATGAAGCAATAAAAGTAAATATGTTAGTGCAGCATCCTATCTTTAAAATCAAGCACAGAAAGAATAATCTTAGGAATTCATTAAAGAAAACTTTAAAGCAGCATTTCAAATGTGTCCAGGAAACTAGAAGCCATCACCTCAAGAGAACTCTCTCTTTAGTCTACTCCCACAGTATTTTATTGACTTGCCACAAGCATTTACTATTTATTTTCTACCTTGAATTTAAGTTATTTATCCTCCAATCGAGTATTCCTCAGGTATATCAGGTAAACAGGAATACCCACTAGGTATCAAGTAAACTATCCAGTGCTAGAAGTACAAAGATGAAGAAGTATTCTTGCCAAAGATGTGAACACTTCTCCCTGACCACCATCCCCAGAGGGTTCTCCCTCACTTACTTACTGCATAAGCTCTTTAAGGACCCTTTGACACCTTGCCAGCAAATCTAAAAAAGTACCTGCCTCTGCATCCACTCTCTTCTTGTTTCCTTATATTACCCAGAAGGCAGCAGCCTCCCTTCTAATTAAGGCAAAAAGTCTTACTTTGCTTCAGATCCAATCCCATCTGTAAGATCTCATGATCTAATCCAACAGATTATCTCCTTTCCCCTTTGGATTGCATGGCAATACACTCTCTCATCCTCCTTTCCAATTTTCTCAGTGTGCTTTACTAGTTCCTCTGTAGCTACCAAGTCTTCAAATGTTAGTCAGTGTTCTATATATCTACAACTATGGTGTCAATTACTAGCTGCAAAAGTTTCCAAATTCACAGCCCTCACCTCATCTCTGTATAACCAGAAAATTTATGTCAAATGTTAGATATCCCCCACGAACCCTGTTGCTACTTGAACAAGCTCCTCCTCCAGTATCCCCATCTCTGTAAATGATACCCATATTTTCCCTGCCCAGCTGCTCCAACCAAAACCTTAGAAGTTATTTCCCTCTGCTTCAAGGTCAACATCAAATCAATCACGAAGTTCTGGCTACCCTAGTTCTTATACATTCTTAAATACTTCTTCTGCCTTGCCCCACAGACCTCCCAGAACCTACATACTGTATCTCCCTATTGCCACTTGTGCTGCCTTTTTTTTTTTTTTTTAACTTTTTTTTTTAAATTAAAAACTCTGCCAGCCAGGCACGGTGGCTAACACCTGTAATCCCAGCACTTTGGGAGGCCGAGGTGGGTGGATCCCTGAGGTCAGGAGTTCGAGACCAGCCTGGCCAACATGGCGAAACCCCGTCTCTACTAAAAATACAAAAATCAGCTGGCTGTGGTGGCACTTGCCTGTAATCCCAGCCACTCGGGAGGCTGAGGCAGGAGAATCACTTGAACTCAGAAGGCAGAGGTTGCAGTGAGCCAAGACCGCACCACTGCACTCCAGCCTGAGCAACAGAGCAAGACTCCATTTCAAAAAAAATAAAACAAAAAAACCTCTGTCATCCAGACTGGAGTGTAGTAGTGCCATCATAGCTCACTGTAACCTTGAGCTCCTGGGCTCAAGAGATCCTTCCACCTCACCCTCCTCATTAGGACTACAGGTGCACACCACAGGCCTGGCTAATTTTTGATTTTTTTATTTTTGTAGAAATGAGGTCTTGCTATGCTTCCCAGGCTGGTTTTGAACTCTTGGCCTCAAGCAATCCTCCTGTCTCTGCCTCTCAAAGCAATGGTATTATGGGCATGAGCTCCCATGTGCAACCACTCCTGCTTCTGTCCAATTCTTCTCCATACTGTACACTGTAAATACTTTCAAAGCACTTAAAACACTTTATTCTAGATATTGACTGACAGAGTTTGGATATTTGTACCTGCCCAAATCTCATATTGAACTTGTAATCCATAATGCTGGAGGTAGGGCCTGATGGGAGGTGACTGAATCATGGAGATGAATCCCTCATGGCTTGGTGCTATCTTCATGATAGTGAATTCTCGCAAGATCTGGTCATTTTAAAAATGTGTGGTACCTCCCCCCTCACTCTCTCTCACTTGCCCCTCCTTTAGCTATGTGACTTGCCTGCTCCCACTTCACCTTCCACCATGATGATGAGGCCTCCCTAGAAACTGAGCAGATGCCAGCACCATGTTTCCTGCAAAGCCTGCAGAACCGTAAACCAATTAAACCTCTTCTCTTTATAAATTACCCAGTCTCGGGTATTTCTTTATAGCAAGGCGAGAACAGCCTAGTATACTCGCTTAACCGTCTGTGTCCTCACTACCATGTACATCACTCTTACACTCTCAGCACTTAAACTGTTTGACATGAATAGGTATGATTTTGAAAAAAATTAAGCATAAAAATATTCTAGACAAATATACGTGAATATATAACTGATCTTAGGATCACAGAAAGATTTTCTAAATAAAATGGCTAGAATTTGGTTTTAAAAAGTCTTAAGAATGTATGGCAACTGCCTCCTGAGGAAGGTTATTCTACCTCAGCACACTGCTGACTACAAAGATCTTCCTTATATTAACCTTAAAATGTGGCTTCTAGACGTAAGTTCTACTTTTATTTCTTGGATACCAAACACTGGTTTGTGACAAACCTTCACAAGTCTACTAAAATTTTAAATGCTAACCTAATTAATGCTTGTTTTGTGGATATGTGTAAAATTATTTCAGCTTATGGCTTCACTCTGTACTACTGACAAGCCTCTAATAAAGGCAAGGGAAAATAAACAGGAAAACCAAGTCGAGATTAGAAGAAGAAAATTTTAGGGTAGAAGTTATGAGGGTGGGAATACATGTAGTGACTTTCAAAGTTTAAGCTTAGATTGTTTGTGTTTCCTTTTTAACCTTTATTTTGAATCATGTATGTTTTGAATTACCATAGAAGTAGAAAACTCACCAACACTTGCTGACAATCTTGCATTCCTTTTTAAGTTGTTAACATGAATTTATATTTCTGTCACATGTCATTGGTAATTCACAAACTTCTTTTATAGCCTAAGGATTATTTCTTCAAAGGAATATTTTTCAACAAGCAAATATGTGGACATATATGGACAAATGCTAGAGTCCTACTTACTCTGGATCCTCTCCCAGCAGGTAAAACAAATTTTCATTCATTCATGCATTCATTTAACAAATATTTACAGACATAGGAATATGCAAGAAATAAGACAGGTAAGGCCCCTGCCTAGATGAATCTCTCAGCCTAAAACACAGCTTTAAAAATAACTGCTTTAAAAGACTGATCCCAGGCAAAATTTGGGAAGGAAATCCCTCCCTCTGCACTCCCATTCATCTCATTTCTCAACCAACCCCAGATGGTCAATAACGCTTAAGACAATAATGGAAATACCTTCTGACAAAAAGGGAAAGTACATTGGCAGTCTTAAAAATCATATCCATTCCTTAGAAAACAAGTCAATAATTATCTAGAGATGTCTTTTTAAGTATAAATTTAAAGCTCACAAGCACTCTACAATAAGGAACATATTAAAAGTTACCCTCAATCTGGATCCACATTTGCTGCAATTATAAATTGAAACTTAGCAAAAATGATCCTTGTAACTATCATAGAAACATAAAGTTTAATTTGAATAGTTTCAAACTATGGTAAAGTGACATCTAAGGTGCAGAATTATACGTCAAAAATTAGTATAAAAAATATTCATTATTTTGACCTCCTTATAGGAATAGGGATACACAGTGTCAGAACCTCAAAAGAATTAATTCCTCTTTTTCTTCTGGGTGTCTCAAAGGAAAAGTGTTTTCTGAAACTTTACAAAGTTTCAATAAATCCTTAAGTGAATAGAAGAGCACTAGAATTCAGGTACGCCTGTATCCAAATCTCAGTTCTGTCTATTATTGGCATTAGGTTTATCTTGGACAAGTTACAAAATTTCTATCTCAGTTTTTTTCATCTGTAAAATGAGGTTAATAGCAATATCTTGCTACCCAGGGTTGATACAAGGATTAAATGAATTAGGGAATTGATGTAAAATATTTATGATGTTGTCTAAAAATGAGTAGGTAACACACTCCACATTACCAGTACAGAGACTATTCTAGCATCAATGAATGCCACCATAGATAACTATTTTCTTCTTAGGAATTTACTAATGCTTGATACAACTCCATTCCAACAGTTTGAACAAACATAAGTAAAAATATTGAAAAACTCTCTAGAGGTAGAATGTTTAACAATTTTTACCATAACAATCTAGTTGTACAAAATTCAAACTCGGAATTCAAAAGACAACCATCACTACTAAGTATATTAAGTTTAAACTATACAGTTTCAAACTATTTCTCTCTGGTGGACACTGAACACCTAATAGAATAAAAAATGCAAAATATGCTATTATTGCTGTGTGTAAAAAGAATGCAATTAACTGTCTTCTTTCCTGTTCCTTGCCATTGCTAACCTAGGACCATCTTCTACTTATGAGAGTGAACTTCACTGTATGTCACCAATTCCGTACCTTGTCTATTGTTTAATAGTCGAGATACTGTCAAAGTAAACAAATGCTGCCACCTTGTGGACTGAAGGGTATGGTCTTAACTCCAAATAAGCAAAGGAAGAAAAATACGTTTCTGGTTCGGCCTTTTCTCTCAGATTATCACTGCAGTAAGTGACCAACATTATGTCATGCAATTTTACAGTAAGAATAATTATCTCTTCTACAAAGTAACAAAATAATGCACCAAATTCAACATTATCTGCCTTCTCAAATACTTGTTTAGGCCTCTTTGTTTGAGACAGAGTCTCATTCTGTTGCCCAGTGCAGTGATCTCAGCTCACTGCAACCTCTGCCCCTTAGGTTCAAGCTATTCTCCTGTCTCAGCATCCCAAGTAGCTGGGATTACAGGCATACGCCACCATGCCTGGCTAATTTTTGTATTTTTAGTAGAGATGGAGATTCACCATGCTGGCCAGGCTGGTCTGGAACTCCTGGCCTCAAGTGATCTGCCTGCCTCGGCCCCGCAAAGTGCTGGGATTACAGGTGTGAGCCACCTCACCTGGCCTCTTTATTCCTCTTTCTGAAAGAAATTAATTAAATTTCCTTTTTTGGGAGGAATTAGAAGGCGTTGAAGTAAATTTATTATCAATGATGTGTTTGAATATAAGAAAGTAAGAAAAGCAAAAAATCAACAGAGCTGTGAGAGTTTTTCACACCTTCATTTCTTTGGCCATATCATCCTTTCTTGCTAGTCTTCATCTCTCATGCCTAAGAAACTTTAAAATTGGAATTTTTTCTTTAAAAAACATTAATTTGGTGTAATTAATAGAAAAAAAACGAATGTAGCATGCAAGACGGCCCAACCAGAGGTATCTTAAAAATTTCTTATATTAGTCTAAATGTTTTAATCTAACCACAATTTGTAAGTATTTCCAAACTAAGATCTTGTTTAGGTCTTCCTAAGAATGTATTTCTGCCTCAGAATGCACAATGTTTTCACATAAATGTCAGTATGATTAGGGTTTATTAGCAATTGTAAAAAATTCAACACTACATTAAATCAAGCTTTAAAAAAGCAATAATGAAACCATCTCTTCCCCAAAATCAAGCTAAAATGGCTTTCAGGAATGAAAAAAAAAAAAAAAGATTATTACTCTTTGTATAGTCACATAACTACAGGTAAGTGCATACATATCAGGTCAATATTATAAATAAACTTTGATACTTATTTTTGCCATTTCACATTCAATCTACATTTCTGAAGTCCTTAAAAGCATAGTATACATTCTTAACATAGTTAAGAATTTAAGTAAGAATGCTAATATGTTGCTCCAAAGTAAACTGTTTCATAAACTATTCTTTTATTTCTTATCTATAAGGGCCCTAAAATAAGATTGTGAGCTCTCCTGAATCCAAGTAACACGTCTGGCCTGTTCATGACTATATGCCTAGTCTGGCCTAGCCTGCACTACGTTATCAATGATTTTTTGTTAATTAAATTATGTAATAAAATGCACCCCATAATCTGCTGCATTTTCAAATTTTACTCAGTCAAGTGCCAACATACAGAAAAATAAAGGAATGTATGATTTTTGTCTTACTCATTACTGAGTTAAACAGCTGACAGAATACAATAAAAGATCTCCTCCAATAGTTTCTTTAGCTAATGGCTTAAATTTTAAGATCTTCATATACATAATAAATTCAAATCTTAGTCCTGTAAATGAAAAGCATGTTAAGTTTTAGCAATATTTGACACGTTAAAACTTACCAAATTCCCGATATGCCTCAAAAAACATCTTTTTAGGGTTATTCGTTCTAAGAGATTTGAACACAAAGTAGCAATTTGATTATACCAAGGAATTACTGTTAATTTGCTTAGATGTGATACAGCCCTGTGGTTTAACAATGTCCATTTTAAGAGATGCAGATAAGTTTCTGAGATTTGCTTTAAAATACTTAAGCATATACACACCCAACACTGGAGCACCCAGATTCATAAAACAAGTTATTCTCGGCTTACAAGAAGACTTAGCCACACAATAATAGTGGGGGACCTCAGGCTGGGTGCGGTGGCTCATGCCTGTAATACCAGTAGTTTGGGAGGCCGAGGCAGGTGGATCAAGAGGTCAGGAGTTCGAGACCAGCCTGGCCAACATAATGAAACCTAGTCTCTACTAAAAATACAAAAATTAGCCAGGCATGGTGGTGGGCACCTGTAATCCCAGCTACTGAAGAGGCTGAGGCAGGAAAATCGCTTGAACCTGGGAGGTGGAGGTTGCAGTGAGCCAAGATCATGCCATTGCACTCCAGCCTGGGTAACAAGCGCAAAACTCCATCTCAAAAAAAAAAAAAAAAAAAATAGTAGGGGACTTCAATACCCCACTCACACCATTAGACAGATCATGGAGGCAGAACACTAACGAAATTCTGGACTTAAACTCTACACTTGACCAACTGGATACACATTGACACAGAGTACTACACCCAACAACCACAGAATATACAAACTCCTCATCTGTACATGGAACATGTTTTAAGATAGACCACATGCTTGGCCATAAAGCAAGTCTCAATAAATTAAAAAAAAATCATAATCACACCAAGCATAACTCTTGGACCACAGTGAATAAACATAGAAATCAATATCAAGAAGATCTCTCAAAACTACACAAAAACATTAAAATTAAACAATTTGCTTCTGAATAACTCTTGGATGAACAAAGAAATTAAGGCAGGAATAACAAAATTCTTTGAAATTAATGAAAATAGAGATACAATTTACCAAAATCTTTGGATGCAGCTAAAGCAGTGTAGAGAGGAAAATTTATAGCACTAAAAATGCCTTCATCAAGAGGTTAGGAAGATCTCAAATTAATGACCTTACATCACATGTAGAGGAACTAGAAGAAAAAGAACAATCTAATCCCAAAGCTAGTAGAAGAAAAAACTAAAATCAGAGAAGAGCTGAATGAAATTGAGACCCAAAAGTCCATACAAAAGATAAATAAGACCAAGAGTTGGTTCTTCAAAAGAATAAGCAAGACTGATAAACCACTAACAAGATTAACAAAGAAAAAAAAAGAGAAGATCAAAATAAGTGCAATCAGAAATGACAAAGATGACGTTACAACCAATACCACAGAAATACAAAAGATTCTCAGAGATTATTATGAACATCTCTATGCACAGACTAGAAAATCTAGAGGAAATGGATAAATTCTTGGAAACACACAACCTCCCAAGATTCAAACAATAAGAAAGTGAAAATCTGAACTGACCAGTAACAAGTTCAGAAATTGAATCAGTAATTTAAACAAAACAAAACAAAAAACTACCAACCAAAAAGAGCCCTGGACCAGATGATTCACAGACAAGTTCTAATAGAGGTACAAAGAATTGATACCAATCCTGCTGAAACTTCCAAAAAATCAAGGAGGGGCTTCTCCCTAATTTATTCTATGAATCCAGCATCATCCTGATACCAAAATCTGGCAGAGACACAATGATAAAAGAAAACTTTGGGCAAATATCCCTCATAAACACAGATACAAAAATCCTCGACAAAATACTCTGTATTTGTTCAGCTTACAAAATACTTGTAAGCTGAATCCAGGAGCACATCAAAAGTTAATTTGCCACAATCAAGTATGCTTTATTCCTGCAATGCAAGGCTTGATTCAAAATATGCAAATCAATAAATGTGATTTACCACATAAATAGAATAAAAAACAAAAAACATATGATCATCTCAACAGATGCAGAAAAAGTCTTTGATAAAATCCAACATCCCGTCATGATAACAACCCTTAACAGACTAGGAATCAAAAGAACATAACCCAAAATAGTAAGAGTCATCTATGACAAACCCACAGCCAACTTAATAGTGAATGGGCAAAAGCTGAAACCATTCCCTTTGACAATTAAAACAAGACAAGGATGCCCACTTTCACCACTCCTATTCAACATTATACTGAAGGTCCTAACCAGAGCAATCTGTCAATAGTAAGAAATAAATGGCATCCAAATAGGAAAAGATTAAGTCAAATTATCTCTCTTCACTGACAGTATGATTCTATACACAGAAAACCCTAAAGACTCTGCCAAAAGGCTCCTGGAACTGATAGACAAATTCAGCAAAGTTTCAGAATACAAAATCGATGTACAAAACTTGGTAGCATTTCCATATACTAATAACATTCTAGCTGAGAAAGAAATAAAAAACACAATCTTATTTACAATAGCCACAAAGAAAATAACTAGGAACTCATCTAAGCAAGGAGGTGAAAAATCTCTACAATGAGAACACAAAGCCCTGCTGAAAGAAATCGAAGATGACACAAATAAATGGAAAATCCTTCCATAAGCATGATTTGGAAGAATCGATATTGCTAAAATGGCAATATTGTTCAAAGCAATTTACAGATCCAATGTTATCCTTAAAATACCAACGTCATTTTTCACAGAATTAGAAAAAAACTATTCTAAAATTCACATGGAACAAAAAAAGAGCTTGAATGGCCAAAGCAGTCCTAAGCAAAATGAACATACCTGGAGGCATCACACTACCCAACTTCAATTTATACTATCAGGCTACAATAACCAAAACAGTATGGCACTGGTAGGTACAAAAACAGACATAAGACCAATGGAATAGAATACAGAACCCAGGCATAAAGCTGTAAACCTACACCATCTGATCTTTGACAAAATCAACAAAAACAAGCAATGGGGAAAGGACTCCCTATTCAATCAATGGTGCTTGGATAACTAGCTAGCCATGTGCAGAAGAATAAAACTGGACCACTACTTTTCACCATATACAATAACTCAAGATCAATCAAAACTTAAGTCTAAGACCTCAAACTATAAAAATCCTAGAAGGAAAGCTAGGAAATATCCTTCATGACACAGGCTTTGGCAAATAATTTATGGCTAAGTCTTCAAAAGCAATTGCAAAAAAAAAAACAAAAATTGACAAGTGGGACCTAATTAAATTAAAGAGCTTCTGCATAGCAGAAGAAATTGCCAACAGAGTAAACAGACAGCCTAGGGAATGGGTGAAAGTATTTGCAAACTATGCATCTGACAAAGGCCTAATCTCTAAAATCTACAAGAAACTTAAAAAAAAATCAACCTGTGAAAAACAAAAAAATCCAATAAAAAATGAGAAGACACAGACACTTCTCAAAAGAAGACATACAAGTCGCCAACAAGCATATGAAAAAACACTCAGCATCACTAATCATCAGAGAAATAAAAATCAAAACCAGGATGAGATACCATCTCATAGCAGAATGGCAATTATTAAAAAGTCAAAAAATAACAGATACTGGCAAGGCTGTGAAGAAAAGGGAATGCTTACATGCTGTTGCTAGGAATGCAAACTAGATCAACCACTATGGAAAGCAGTTTGGAGATTTGTCATGTAAGTTACAACAAAACTACCATTTGACCCAGCAATCCCATTAGTAGGTATACGCACAAAAGAAAGTAAGTTGTTCTTCCATAAAGACACATGCACTGGTATGTTCACTGCAGAGCTATTCACAGTAACGAAGACATGTAATCAATCTTGGTGGCCATCAATGGTGGACTGGATAAAGAAAATGTGGCACATGGAATACAACATAGCCTTAAAAAATAATAAAACCATGTCCTCTGCAGCAACATGAGTGAAGCTAGAGGCCATTATCCTAAGTGAATTAATGCAAGAACAGAAAACCAAATAATGTATATTCTCACTTGTAAGTGGGAGCTAAACACTGAAGACACATGAATGTAAACATGGGAACAACACATACCGGGGACAACTAGATGGGGAGGTGGGAGAGGGCAGGGGTCGTGGGCTTATAAAACACTTGTTGTGTACCTATGCTCACTGTCTGGGTGACGGAAATGTTAGGACCCCAAGCCTCAGTGTCGTGCAATATACCCATGTAACAAACCTGCTTATGTACCCTTTAATCTATAATTAAAAAAAAAAGGTTCAAGGTATTAAAAATAATAAAAAAATAAAAGTGGTCAGGGAACATGGAAAAAAGTAATAAAATACTTAAGCAAAAAATAATCAAAATGAAGAGGATACATAAAACTCGTACAGCAAAATCTTAACCACTGCTGAATGTGGGTGATGGTTATGTGAGGAATTAGTCCATTCTCTCCATTTTCCTGTATAAATTTTCATTAAACATTTCAAATAATGACAAAAATAATATAAAGCAAGCTGGGTGCAGTTGTAGTCCCAGCTACTCGGGAAGCTGAGGCATGAGGACTGCATGAGCCTAGGAGTCTGAGGATCGCCTAGGCAGCATAATGAGACCCTGTCTCTTAAAAAAAAAAAATCAGTAACAGAAAGATAACTGGAAAAATCCCAATATCTGGAAACTAGTAACAGCCTCAGTAATCATGGGTCGAAGAGAAAAATCAAAATGGAAATTAAAAGGTATTTTGATATATACTTCAAAACACGCTGTATGCAATAAACACAATTTTATCTGTCAATTTTAAAAAAACAAACTTCCTAAAAAATAAAAAGAAAGCTAAAATAGTACTTTGAACTATATTAAAATGGAAAAGTATCACATCAGTTTTTTTTGTGATGTGGCTAATACAGTACTTAGAGGGAAATGTGTAGCACAAAATAACTATATTAGAAAAGAAGGTATCAACTAAAGGACCTCAATTTTTATCTTAAGAAATTAGCAGATAAGAGCAAATTAAACCCTCAAAAAGTAGAAGAATAAAAATAATTAAGAGCAAAGATTAATGATAACAGAAAACAAAAAAATACAGCCTATCAGTAAAACCAAGAGCTGGCTCTCTGGGAAGATCAATAAAACTGATAATCTTCTAAGCTAGACTCTTCAGGAAAAAGGTAAGAAGAAACAAAATCCACTATCAGGCATGAAAGAGGGAAAATCATCATACAATCCAAAGATATTAAGAGAATAATAAGGCAATATTATGAATAATTGTACGCCAATAAGTTCAACAGCCCTGATGAGACGGACAAATGTCTTAAAAGACACAAACTAATTATAATGCTAAATCAAGAAGAAATAGATAACCTGATTAACCCTAAATCTCTTAAGCAAATTGAATTGGTAGTTAAAATTCTTTTCTGGAAGCTTCACTGGCAAATTCTACAAAATATTTAAGGAAGAAATAATACCAATTCTATACAAACTTACAGAAAATGCAGAGGTGGAAGCACTTATGAGAAGAGCATACTGTCATCAAAACTAGACAATGATAGTACAAGAAAACAAGCTACAACCTTATGAGAAGGATACTATCAATTATTCCACTTTAGAGACGAAGAAATTTGGCATATAGAAGCTCAGGAACTTGCCTAAAATCACAGAACTAATAATTGGCAGGCTACTTCAGAACCCACGCTTTTAATAATAATGGTATAAGTGCTTCTCAAATTCAATTAGATTCTAGACATTCTTACAAAAGAAAATAGTAATTTGACCAATACTTACCTAGAGACTATACTGGAACCATTATAGAGATCACTAGCATATGACAATGTGGCTAAAGGTCGTACTGAATTATATCGAGTAAACTTGGACAAGCATTCCTGAAATTCATCCAACTGGCTTGCAGTTCGACTGTCATCTATATGAAAAAAAAAAAAAAAAGACAAAACAGATGAATTGAACTGCAAAGTAAGTCAAAGAGCCACATCCACAAATTAAAATTTATATTCTAAATACAAAAAACAATTTTTAAAGATTTTACTAAAGACTAG
The DNA here is from genome assembly GCF_000001405.40 of Homo sapiens. NCBI lineage: Eukaryota > Metazoa > Chordata > Mammalia > Primates > Hominidae > Homo > Homo sapiens. The sequence continues at coordinate 176,081,421 of NC_000001.11, forward strand.
TTTACACAATTTAATTGGTCAGTTTTTCAGTTTTAATAAAAAATGTCTTGGTTCTTTGAAAGATACTGTCTCTTTCCACTGTGAATTCTCACTTTTTTGGCAATAATTCCTTGGAAAAAAAATAATAACAATAATAATAATAATAAAGCTACTATTTAAGAGTCATTAAAACAAAAATCCATCAATGGAGAATGTGAGGATATTAAGAAGAGTACTGGATGAGTATTTGTTAGTTTGAAGGAACGTGTTTACTGGCACACATATTTATGCCCATGTTTTGTTTAAAATCCCGTTTATAATAACATTTTAGATAAAATAGTTTATAAATAAGAAGAAATATTTGGTCAAATAATATACTGAAATGTTTCAAATCCTATTACAGGAAGACAGTAGAAAACTGCAATGTTATGAACTATTAATTCTAAAAAACAAACAAAAAAAGTTTGAAATTGCTCCTTTTTATCTCAAAGTGCCTTCATCAAGAAAAAATATTCATTCAAATCTCTTGCTGAAATATGAAAAACAATAATTCCATCCAGTGGTACAGTATACAAAAACCTTGGGTAAAGTCCACTTCAGTAAACTATTGGAAGATAAATCATGTGGAATTTAAAACATAGTATCAGTTTACGAAGTACCTGAGAATACAACGAATCTATTCTCCAGTCTATTAATAGAAGCAGACCTACACTAAAAGCATAGATTTAAAAAATCATTGCTTTTCAGCACTGTGTCGTTTGAACATATACTTTCCTTTCTGAAGAATGAAAAAAACAATGAGCACTTTAGTTTCCTAGACTGAAACTGAGACAAGTTTGTTATACCACTGTATTTTCATAGCTTCTTTATTCTAAGCCCATACATACACACACACACAACTTTTTCAAGGTAAATGTTCATGATTTCCCTTCTTAAATGCCATCTGAAGTATAGTAAGCATAATAAAAGTAAGATGCAAGAATTATTAAGTCAAAAGAGTTATGCAGATAATATAATGCACAGTAAAGAATTTATGTTATCTGGAGATATTAGGTTATCTTGAAAATAACTGTTTGCATGACGAAATTTATGTAACAATTATTATAAGAAAAAAATAAACAACAGGGCCGGGTGCAGCAGCTCACACCTGTAATCCCAGTACTTTGGGAGGCCGAGGCAGGCGGATCACCTGAGGTCGGGAGTTCGAGACCAGCCTGACTAACATGGAGAAACCCTGTCTCTACTAAAAATACAAAATTAGCCAGGTGTGCTGGAGCATGCCTGTAATCCTAGCTACTCGGGAGGCTAGGCAGGAGAATAGCTTGAACCCGGGAGGTGGAGGTTGCAGTGAGCCAAGATCACACCACTGCATTCCAGCCTGGGCAACGAGAGCAAAACTCCATCTCAAAAAAAAAAGAAAAAAGAAAAAAGAAAGAAGAAAAATAAATAACATTACTTGAGGAAACTGAGTGAGCTTTTGTCCCTGATATTTTACAAATTTTAAAGATTTAAACACTAAGCAAATTCATCAAAACACCTAGATTTAAAGGGTCCACTTAGTTGTGCTTCCATTCTAAAGACAGCAAAAGGAATTACCTAACAGGCAATATCATAACGGTATTGAGACAAAACTCTTGCTCCACAAAAATTATTCTCAGGAAATTCCACGTATTATAAATAAAACATGGGTTATTTGCAAAAATAAAAATCCCAACTGTACTGCAGAGTGGTCTGGATATAATAGTTAATGATTCTTTTTATATGGAATCCTATTACTGTGAGTTATTTAACATTCTACATACTGGAAAGATGGTTGGTTTTATTAATTTAAAAACTGTTTCAATGTTATCCTATTCATTCCCATTTTGATATCAATTCCTAAGTACATAAAACTCACAAGCATTCAATATTGTGTATTCTGTTCTAAGCTAATAATCCTGTTCTAGGCTAACTGGATTTCTGCCCATCATATAAGCTCATTAATAGCTACTTTCAACAGAAACCATAAAGAAAACAATAAAACTAGTTTTTTCAGTATCTGAAAGTATAGTAATTGATTTTAACTTATGAGGTTACAAAAAAGGTAGAATTTTGTTTGCGTGGTGTTTTATCATCAACATCCACACATATCTGCTGGTATATCACCTCTCCTATCCTAATTACAAATTGGTTTGTAAAAGTGTATTCAATGTCTCTTTTCTTTCTCCTAGTGCTTTATAATTAACTTCCTCTTTCAATTACAGTTAAAACTCCAAAGTAATAGTTCTTTAATATTCATCTTTCATTTTAATAGTTGGAAATAAAAGAGAATACAGATGGATTTACAGATTCTCATTTGAAAATATACAAAGGACAATCAACCTCTTAGGTACACCGTTTCAGAGAAGTTAAAATTTCCCCTTTACAGTCAGAGGTACTAGGAGGAACTTACAATCCAGCAATACAATTAGAGTAGCTAGCTAACGTAAGATTCCTGAAAACTAGAGACATGTTTTACGTACAATACAGCCATACCCATACAAATAAAAATCTATCTAATTTTCCACCTGGTTTTAATTTATTATTCTACTGTCTTGTAAAGCTACACCCCCAAATATAAACTGACTTGTGATGACCTTTACTATTCCATACCATATCTATGCTGCCAGTGACTTAAAGATTACTAATAATAGCCTACCCCAATCTCTTTCCCACCTCTTTTTTTAAAGGTCTGCCACTTGCCTATAGTTGTACTTCAGTATCATACCAACAAATAATGTATGAAAGGGTTAACATGAACTCTACCAGTCAGAATGCAGGTATTGGGCTACTTTCAACTTAACAACTCCCAAAGTGCTGGGATTACAGGCATGAGCCACTGCGCCCGGACTGATTTTGGGAATCTTAATATCCAGAAATTGTTAGAAAATAATTACCAAATAGAAAATGAGTTACTTTTTCCAACGAAATAAGAGGACACAAACAAATGGAAGAACATTCCATGCCCATGGATAGGAAGAATCAATACTGTGAAAATGGCCACACTGCCCAAAGTAATTTATAAATTCAATACCATCCCCATCAAGCTACCAATGACTTTCTTCACACAACTGGAAAAAACTACTTTAAAGTTCATATGGAACCAAAAAAGAGCCCACATTGCCAAGAGAATCCTAAGCAAAAATTATTACACAAGCACAATAAGGGGCTCCATTCCCAGGCAATAAATGAAAGCTTTCCCAGCATAAAAACTGTTTGTTGTTAATTTCAAACAAACAAACAAATTTTGCCTTCTCCCTTGGTCTTCAGAGGAAAAATGCTTTGTAAATCTAATATATTTTTTCCTATACCACTAATCGTGAGGCAAATTTGTCTGTAGGATCTAAGCAATATGTAGATTATAAATAATATAAACATATGTATTCAAGAGAAAACCAACACCCAGTTTTTAACAACCAATAAAATACCAGACTTTTTTTTTTCCCCCTTGGTGGGGTTTATTTTAAGCAGATGCCTCATTAATGACCTGAATTAATTGAGCACCCAACATGTACCAAGCATTGTATCTTATATATGTCACTTACAATCATTAAAAAACCCATTAGGGTTAATGTCTCTACTTCATAGATGAGCAAAGACACTGAGAAAGACTGAAGAACAGAGTTAAGAAAAAGAGGAAAAACTAAATTACTTTTTTACAGTAATAAAAATATCATATGCTATCACATCCACATCTTTGCATATGTTATTTCCTCTACTTTGAACATGTTTCTAAGTATCTTTTTCAGTTAATTCATACTCGAATAGCCCATATACAACTCCTCTGAAATCCCTACACTGATCATTCCCTTACACCTCCCCATTTTCAATTCGGCCTGGATTTTTTTTTTTACTATCAGTTGTATTAGTGGATATTATTATCTATTCTCATGATACTCCTGTAAACTTATTTAACACATAATATCACACAGAACTGTTTATCTGTTGCTTTCCCTGACTCGATTTACAACACTCCTTAATGACAGAAACCAGTTCTTTCATCTTTTTATTCTTAGCACAGAGGACAGTGCTTAGAACTTCATGTTTATTTAATGTTAAATAGGAGGCAACTGAATGAAACTTATTTTTGTTGGCTACATATTCATAGCTGAATTTCTTTTTAACTTTATCTAGCTTGCCATATAAAGATTCAGAATTCACAAATATAGAACAAAAAATAGTCATTGGAAAGTAACATTCTCTAAGATCACTAAGAACCTCCATGATGATCTGGTAGACTATGTCAAAAATACATACTTTTGCTTTGCAATTAGGACTTTCCATAAATTCAGCACAAAAACCTAGAAACAGATCTGAAATGTAGATTTCAGATAATTTGAGAAGGTCTAAATATATACCTGAGATACGAGACATCCTTGTAGAAAAGTAACACTGCTCCAAGTCTTCAAAATGAGCAGTAAGTCGTTTTCGTCTTGATGCTAACGTGCTATTATACCAAGGCTGTTTCTTTGTCTAAAATAATAAGAAAAGACACAAAACTTAGAATAAACAATACTCTTCTTTTGCACAGAATACTCAAATGTTTGAGCATTTACCCTCAGAAGTTCATCACAGTAAAATGATCACAAATAGTAAAAAACTGTAATTCTGAGATATTTTCCAATTTATCTTTTAACATGAAAATAGAAACCAAATTCATTCGCAGAATGATTAAAACTAATAATGACTAAAAATAAGCTCTAAAGGACAGTTTTACAAGACTAAAATGAGAAACATCTTCACTTCTACAAATAAAATGAAGACAGAATTCATTATGCCATTCTAAAATTTAGAATTTTGGGAATCTTTCTTTTTTTTTTTTTTTTGAGATGGAGTCTCACTCTGTCGCCCAGGCTGGAGTGCAGTGGCACCATCTCAGCTCACTGCAAGCTCTACCTCCCAGTTTCTCGACATTCTCCTGCCTCAGCCTCCCAAGTAGCTGGGACTACAGCCGCCCGCCACCACGCCCAGCTAATTATATTGAATTTTTAGTAGAGACAGGGTTTCACCGTGTTAGCCAGGATGGTCTCGATCTCCTGACCTCATGATCCACCCGCCTCGGCCTCCCAAAGTGCTGGGATTACAGGCATGAGCCACTGCGCCTGGCCTGATTTTGGGAATCTTAATATCCAGAAATTGTTAGAAAATAATTATCAAATAGAAAATGAGTTACTTTTTCCAACGAAATAAGAGGACACAAACAAATGGAAGAACATTCCATGCTCATGGATAGGAAGAATCAATATTGTGAAAATGGCCATACTGCCCAAAGTAATTTATAAATTCAATGCCATCCCCATCAAGCTACCAATGACTTTCTTCACAGAACTGGCAAAACTACTTTAAAGTTCATATGGAACCAAAAAAGAGCCCACATTGCCAAGACAATCCTAAGCAAAAAGAACAAAGCTGGAGGCATCACACTACCTGACTTCAAACTATACTACAAGGCTACAGTAACCAAAACAGCATGGTACTGGTACCCAAACAGAGATACAGACCAATCGAACAGAACAGATGCCTCAGAAATAACACCACACAGCTACAACCATTTGATCTTTGACAAATCTGACAAAAACAAGAAATGGGGAAAGGATTCCCTATTTAGTAAATGGTTCTGGGAAAACTGGCTAGCCATATGTAGAAAGCTGAAACTGGATCCCTTCCTTATACCTTATACAAAAATTAATTTAAGATGGATTAAAGACTTAAATGTTAGACCTAAAACCATAAAAACCTAGAAGAAAACCTAGGCAGTACCATTCAGGACATAGGCATGGGCAAAGACTTCATGATTAAAACACCAAAAGCAATGGCAACAAAAGCCAAAATTGACAAATGGGATCTAATTAAACTAAAGAGCTTCTGCAAAGCAAAAGAAACTATCATCAGAGTGAACAGGCAACCTACAGAATGGGAGAAAATTTTTGCAATCTATTCATCTGACAAACGGCTAAAATCTAGAATCTACAAAGAACACAAAGAAATTTACGAGAAAAAATCAACCCCATCAAAAAGTGGGAGAAGGGTATGAACACACACTTCTCAAAAGAAGACATTTATGCAGCCAACAGACACATGAAAAAGTGATCATCATCATTGGCCATCAGAGAAATGCAAATCAAAACCACAATGAGATACCATCTCACACCAGTTAGAATGGCAATCATTAAAAAGTCAGGGAACAACAGGTGCTGGAGAGGATGTGAAGAAACAGGAACGCTTTTACACTGTTGGTGGGAGTATAAACTAATTCAACCATTGTGGAAGACAATGTGGCGATTCCTCAAGAATCTAGAACTAGAAATACCATTTGACTCAGCCACCCCATTACGGGTTATATACCCAAAGGATTATAAATCATGCTACTACAAAGACACATGCACATGTATGTTTATTGCAGCACTATTCACAATAGCAAAGACTTGGAACCAACTCAAATGTCCATCAATGATAGACTGGATTAAGAAAATATGGCACATATACACCATGGAATACTATGCAGCCATAAAAAAGGATGAGTTCATGTCCTTTGTAGCGACATGGATGAAGCTGGAAACCATCATTCTCAGCAAACTATCGCAGGATAGAAAACCAAACACCATATGTTCTCACTCATAGGTGGGAACTGAACAATGAGAATACTTGGACACAGGAAGGGGAACATCACACACCAGGGTCTGTCATGGGGTGGGGGGATGGGTGAGGGATAGCACTAGGAGAAACACCTAATGTAAATGACGAGTTAACGGGTCCAGCAAACCAACACGGCACATGTATACATATGTGACAAACCTGCACATTGTGCACATGTACCCTAGAACTTAAAGTATCATAAAAAAAAAAAGAATGAGCTGCTGATACATACAAAACAGAATGAATCTCAAAAACACTGAATGACAGTCATACACAAAAGGTAATGTTATTACAAAATTTCATTATATAAGGATTAAAAACAGGTGAATTATGAGTTTCTAGAAGTCAGTATAATATTTGCCCCTGAAGAACTGGGACTGAATTTGAAAGGAGCATAAGGCAAGATGAATGTTCCATATGTTCATCTCGGTATTGTGGGATCACATGTATGTGTTTGTCAAATCTCACTCAAGCAAATACATAAGATCTGCGCTTTTCTTTATATGTGTTTTACCTCCATTTCAAAGAAGGCATAATAAAAAATTATTTTATTATTACTTCCAAAAAAAGAAAAATGAATTGCTTTTTCATTATCCCTACACTGTAGCCTTACAACCTGGAATTACTGGAATAGTTCTTAGCTGTAAGAAATATCTATTTGGCCGGGCGCAGTGGCTCGTACCTGTAATCCCAGCATTTTGGGAGGCCAAGTTGGGCGGATCACCTGAGGTCGGCAGTTCAAGACCAGCCTGACCAACATGGAGAAACCCCGTCTGTACTAAAACTACAAAATTAGCCAGGCATCGTGGTGCATGCCTGTAATCCCAGCTACTCGGGAGGCTGAGGCAGGAGAATCACTTGAACCCAGGAGGCAGAGGCTGAAGTGAGCTGAGGTCGCACCATTGCACTCCAGCCTGGGCAACAAGAGCAAAACTCAGTCTCCAAAAAAAAAAAAAAAATCTATTTAGGCCGGGCGTGGTGGCTCACGCCTGTAATCCCAGCACTTTGGGAGGCCGAGGTGTGTGGATCACGAGATCAGAAGTTCAAGACCAGCCTGGCCAAGATGGTGAAACCCCGTCTCTACTAAAAATACAAAAATCAGCCGGGCACAGTGGCAGGACCCCAGCTACTTGGGAGGCTGGGGCAGGAGAATCACTTGAACCAGGGCTGCAGGGGCTGCACTGAGCCAAGATCGAGCCAGTGCACCCCAGCCTGGGTGACAGACTGAGACTCTGTCTAAAACAATAACAACAACAACAACAACAACAACAACAATCTATTTAATACTGATTATCAGATTAAGAGGCAATAATATACACATGCCAAAGAGTTTGATATATTCATTAGAAGAACAAAATAACAAAATCAGATAAAAGGCAATAAACTTGAAAAATGTTAGCATATAAATCCTATAAAAAACAAAGGTTTGTGGTCCTAAATATGTATGGTATTTACCTGCTGGCACAAGTTCACCAACAACTGTACCACAATGCCAAATGCATAAAGTAAAAAGTACTAAGGTACTGTAATGTATACTACAGTGTATCCCTGCTTTGATAAAACTAGATGGGAGGAGGTAAGAGTCATATTTTAAAGCACTGCTTCACTCTGAGACCTAAACTCTGAGTTTTTTTCTTTCTTGCCCAAATTCCTATTTAAGGAGACTGCAGTCATGCCCTACAAACGATAAAATCTCATCAGATGGGTTTTACTTAACCCTATATAATCTCTCTTAGTTTTCAACCTGACTCTGAATAATGTCACGACAAATAAAGAAGGAAATCAATATATTTTACCCCCAAATAGTTTTTTGCCATATTTTGAAATGATCCTGCAAAGCAGTCTTTTGTGAGGAAAATTTTGCATCTGTATTAACATAACTACACCCTTCCCCTTCCAGGCCCTCCCAATCCTGAAGAGATTAACTGAGAGTCCAGCCTAATTAGGAAACATTTACCATCTACTGCCTCTAAAGGTAGCCACCTATGAGACTTCATCTACATAAAAACTTTGTTCTTCACAACCCCTTATCTTAACCCAGACACTCCTTCCTATTAATCTCAGGTCTTTGGATAGTAACTTAACTCTTTGAACCAAGAGTCAATCTAAAAATCTCTGAATCCATGTGTGACCTGTAAGCCAATCCCTGTTCCCACCCCCTGTCCCTGCCTGCTGTCCTGCCTTTCCAGATCGAATCAATGTAAACTTCCTAAGTAATGACAGGTGTCTTATGTCTCCTTAAAATGTATACCAACCACCTTGGGCACATGTTCTCAGGACCTCTTGAGACTATGCCTCAGGCCAGGGTCACTCATTTTGGTTTTTTCGGCTCCAAATAAACCTCTTTAAAAAAGTTTATTTGTCTCCAAATAAACTTCTTTAAATATTTTATAGCGTTTGACTCTCTTTGTCAATAACTCACAAGAAAGTAAGATAATTTTCAAAGACTTAACAGACAAACAGGAAGGTGAACTCAGAGATGTAATGATAAACAAAATATAACAGCAGCAGCACAGGGCAGGGGGAAAGAGGAGGACAATACCTACACAAAAGTAATTGAACTGGAATTTGGAGAATTAAGCCCAGGGACCGCAAGTAGGGAAACTGAAAACAGAATTTACAAAGTAGAAGAGAAATCTGAAAGAACTGCCTAGAATGTAGGATAAAAGCCAAGAAGACAAAAAATTTGAAAAACAATATAAAAGGCATAAAAGAATAATAGTTTGAAATATGGCCAGAGACTCAGAAGAAAAGACCAAGAAACTAAAGAAGAAATATTGGAAGAGTTGATGGCTGAGGTTTTTCCAGAACTGAAAACAGACATGAATACACAGAAAGTGAAATTATTCCGATCAAGTGAGATAATTAAAAAGAAACCCACAGTTAGACACACTAAGGTGAAACTGTGTTTTTGTCTATACAGCAAAAATATCTTAAAACCAAAAGAAAGATAATTTATTTAGGAACAACAATTAAAAAGGCAAAATGCTTTTCAAGAGCAGTAGAAAGAAGCTAGAGCAAAAAGGACATCAATAATCTTAAAAAAGTTGAGAGAAAAAAATTTCAGCCTAAAATTCAGAACCCCAAAAGGCTATCTCACAACATCATAAACAAAAATGAAGTTTATTACCAGTGAGCCATCTCTAAAAGAATTTCTGCCTGTAATCCCAGCTACTCAGGAGGCTGAGGCAAGGGAATAGCTTGAACCCAGGAGGCAGAGGTTGCAGAGAGCTGAGATCGTGCCACTGTGCCACTGTACTCAAGCCTGGGCAACAGAGCGAGACTCCGTCTCAAAAAAAAAAAAACAAAAAAAAAAACTTCTGAAGTTGTGTACTTGAATAATACAATGACACCAACTGGAAGATCTGAGACACAAAATAAAAAAAGAGAGCAAGGAAACGAGCAAATAAATAAGTGATTCTAAATATTACTATTAATCGTCATATCTAGTTTATGGGGCTTAAGAATAAGACAAAAAATTATCCAAGTAACAATATATAAGTCAGAAGAAAGTGAAAAAAGTTGCATTCTGGAGCTCTTGTATTGTTCAGGAAGGTAATTAAGATAATTAAGATACTCTGCTTAGATGATAAGTGTGAATAAATTTCAAAGACAACTACTGAAAGCACAGTGATAGAACAGGTAACAATCGAACCAGAAGAGGGATGGTGGGGGAGGTAAAAACGTAAGAAAAAAAATCAAAAACTGAGAAAAACAGAAGTATAATAAGTAAAACAGAATGAAATTATATCAGTATTAGCAATAAATGTAAATGGAAACAATCACTAATAGAAATAGTGACATAATAGATTTAAAATAAAGGTATGCTATCTGCCAAAGAAATACTTAAAACAGAGACAAACTAAAAAATTAGAATAACATGAAAGAATACTAACTAAAAGAGAAAAAATAGATTCAAGATGAAAAACATTAATATGGATGAAAACAGCCACTGTATATGAGAAAAGGTTCAATTTAACATAACCCATCTGTATGTAATAAGAGAGCCTTAACATTTTTCAGGCAGAAATTGCCAGAGAAGTGGACAAACCTATTAACACAATGGGAGATAAATCTGCAAGTCAACTGAGTTATGCAACTAGTGTTATGCAAGTAACACTAGTTTATATATGGCCAAATATAAAATTTGATATAATGAATATATAGAAAACACTGTACCTAATTTAAAAATAGGCATTCTTCTGAAGCATGCATAGAACATTTACAAAAACTGACCATGTAATATGTTACTGGATAATATGTTTACAATCTTGAGAAAGGGCAGAATTTCTTAAATGAAACACAAGAAGTACTAATATAAAAATTATAAATTGCATGACATAGAAATTAAGAACTTCTGTTCACCAAAATTAATCATTAAAAAGGTGAGACAAGATACAAACTGTAAGAAGATATTTGCAGTATCCAAAAACAAATGATTAGTATCCAGAATATATCTATTTCTCTAAGACCAACACAAAAAAATGGGGAAAGACTTGAAATGCCATTTCACAAAAGACAAAACATAAAGGACAATAAATATAAGAAAAGGTGCTGTTTTATAGTGGCAGGAAAATAAAAATTAAAGTCGCAACTATGCTCTATTTATTACCACTAAGGTGACAATCATTTTAAAGTCCAACAATACTAATTATCAGCAAGAATGCTGAGAACCTGGAACTCATACACTCATGTAGTGGGAGTTTTAAATTGATAAAAGTACACTGGAAAACAATTTGTTATTAACTCAAAATACAAATTTTGCATACCCAATGCCCTTTAATTCCTCTCCTAGGTACATATCTAGGGAAACTCTTGCACCTGTGGATCTGGAGACATGTACAAAGATGCCCTTAATAGCAAGAACAACAAAAACCCTAGAAGTGCATGTAATGTATACAGATTCAACTGAAAAATTGTAGTATAGTAACACAATGGAATATTATACGTCAGTGACAACTACAGCCACAGGCATCAGCAATTAATCTCTGAAAAAACAAATCTCAGAAATCTTACTATAATATTTTTATAAAGTTCAAATACAGCCAAAACAAATAATATAGGGGTGTGTATATATGTGGTAAAACTTTTTTAAAAGTCAACATATTGATAAACATAAATATCAGAAAAATAATTATATTTGGATAGGAAGCAGGTGATAAAATTGGTTAGGAACACATGAGTAACCTGTATACTACTTTTAATATTCTATTATTAAATAACTAACACAGAAGCCAGTTCCATAAAAGTTTTGCTATATTTCTAATTTACATATTAATGAAATATATTCCTTTGTAGGTACCAACATATTTTTTAATAATACTAAGATTGTAATTCTAGATTTTAGCCTACAGATCTCTTCAAAAGTGATCTGGCTGGGCATGGTGGCTCATGCCTGTACTCCCAGCAGTTTCGGTGGCTGAGGTGGGCGGATTACAAGGTCAAGAGATTGAGACTATCCTGGCCAAAACAGTGAAACCCCTTCTCAAAATATAAAAATTAGTGGCCAGGTGCGGTGGCTCACACCTGTAATCCCAGCACTTTGGGAGGCCGAGGTGGGCAGATCACGAGGTCAGGAGATCAAGACCATCCTGGCTAACACGGTGAAACCCCGTCTCTACTAAAAATAAAAAAAAATTAGCCAAATGTGGTGGTGGGTGCCTGTAGTCCCAGCTACTTGGGAGGCTCAGGCAGGAGAATGCTGTGAACCTGGGAGGCGGAGCCTGCAGTGAGCCGAGATCAAGCCACTACTCCAGCCTAGGTGACAGAGCGAGAGACTCTGTCTCAAAACAAAACAAAACAAAACAAAACAAAAACAAGTTAGCTGGGCATGGTGGCGCACACCTGTAGTCCCAGCTACTCGGGAGGCTCAGGCAGGAGAACCACTTTAACCCAGGAAGCGGAGGTTGTAGTAAGCTGAGATTGTGCCACTGCACTCCAGCCTGGAGGCAGAGTGAGACTCTGTCTCAAAAAAAAAAGGAAAAAAAAAAAAGTGATCTGTTTAACGGAAAAACAGATAAGACTTCAAAGCCTGAAAGATGAGAATAATTAACAATAATCAGGAACAGGGCATATAAAACAAATAGGAAGTAGTCAGCAACACTGTTTTGTTTTACTTATTTGGCTTCCAGTTTTTATAGTAAACTCATTTTCTCAATTATTTTCCTGTATTTATTCTTGACATTTCTTAAATTTATTCAAAACCCTAGAGTAAATCCTTTACTCAAAAACTCTACAAGCAACTAGGTTGCCTTATAATTGTTGGTAAATATGCAACACTTGGGTCATCATCATATGCCAGTTTAATTATTAAATTATAAATAATATTAATATAAAAAATAGAAATGTGCTATGTATGCAGAGATAAATGTTTTGAAAATACATATTGGATGCAGATAGTCTACAAGGCCAATCTTCAAATAAAACAATTTCAAGATAAGCTCTTTTACCTAGAGGTAGATATAAATACGACACAAATCAAACAGAAATATTTATCAACTATGTTAATTTTACCTAGCTTGGTTCTAAAGAAAAATGATCACATTTAGCAAACTCAAAGATAATTAAATTTCACCACAGCAAAAACAGAAGCATATCTTATTTGGTCATTGGAAAAAGTTAAAAAAAAAAAAAAGTCCTCAAATAAATGCTAGAAAGTTAATAGGCATACTATGAAGATAAAAGAGCAAATTAGATGATCATACAAAAAGATAATTTATGGTCAGCCTGTAAATTATGAAAAATCTTTACACATATAACTACTTTAATTCCCAATAAATGCAATTAACATGAAAACAGAAAAGCAGCAAGCAAAACTGAATATTCTATTTCATATACTTAATATAAAATAGCGGAGTACAAAAGCAATGAGATCTTCAAAAGACTAATGAAATCAATGCTTGTATAATAAAATAAGTAACTTACCATGGCAAAGTTCCCTGTCAATTCCACTAAGAGGAGACTCCTACTTCAAATGAAGCTAAAAGTGTCTGTATGATTGACTGAAACCTGAAATTTTTCCAATCTACAAATACTTTTTTCTCAAACTAATTTCATAAATTAACACTGCATGGAAAACTATCATTATTTACACAATAAGTAAACTTTATAAGTTCAAGGAATACATACAAAATAATAAAACAAATTAACTATTAAACCCATACACACATTTTCATACAAGCAGATTTAATGACTAGCTTTAAAGCAAAGAGTTACAGAATTTAGAATAGTGGTTATCATAGTGTGATCCCCAAAATGTGGCTGAGGACCACTGGGAGTTCTCTAAGATCTTTTCAGGAATCTGGGAGGACAAAGCTATGTTCTTAAAAATAGTAAGATGTTATTTGCAGCCTGGTGTGGTGGCTCACGCCTGTAATCCCAGCTCTTTGGGAGGCCAAGGCAGGCAGATTGCTTGAGTCCGGATCCAGACCAGCCTGCGCAGCATGGCAAAACCCTGTTTCTATAAAACACAAAAAAAAATAAGCTGGGCATGGTGGCATACACCTGCAGTCCCAGCTATTGGGGAGGCTGAGGTAAGAGGATGGCTTGAGCCCAGGAGGTAGTTGCAGTGAGCTGAGATCCTGCCACAGCACTCCCGCCTGGGTGAGAGGGCAAGACCCTGTCTCAGAAAAAAAAAAAAAAAAAAGATGTTCTTTGCAATTTTCCTTGTGCTTATGTTTGTACTTGTGATACAAAAGCAAAGATCAGTATAAGACTGCTGGTCTCTTAGCACAAATAAAGGCAACAGCACCAAATCCGACTGGTAGACACTGTTCTTCATTACTATTCATAATTTTTTTTAAAAAAACATATAAAAATCTGTTAAGAATCAGTTCACTTAAGGATGCCCTTAACAAGGTCACACAAATTAAATCCTGCATTAAATCCAGGCCTTTGCATGTATACCTTTTTACTATTCTGTGACAAAATGAGAAGTATGCACTGTACTTTATCTGCTAGCAGGACTCTCTCTTGCTTTGCTGAGCGTTATTTTTCCTTTTTACCCAATAAATTCCACTTTCCTCATCCTTCTAGGTGTCCACAAGCCTAATCTTTCCTAGTTGTGTGACAAGAGCCTGGTTTTAGCTGAACTAAGGAGAGAGTTCTGCAGCATTTTTGCTGCCCAATGTGAGGCCAAAGGAAGGGTGAGTAAAATGTGAACCCAAAACCTCTCACTTTCGCTTCTGAGCCTTTTGGTCCTATGGCATGCCTCTTCTTTTTTTTTCAGGACAGTAACAGCACCTATCTTTTCTTTTATAATACTGGAGGTGGTCCACACCCACTTAAATGGCCACAGGCTCAGGCTCAGGATGGTTGGGCGAATGGCAGCTCCCCACTCCCCTTACCTCCTGGTTTGGGTGCATGGCCATGTCTGCCACATGAGTGCAGTGTCCAACGACCACACAGGGCGGGAATGAGCCACAGCCACTGTCCAGGCCCCAAGGCGGCCTCAGGGGCCTGGGCCCTGCATGGTTGACTGGCCAGACTACCATTGGTCTGAGCCAGGGGGAAAGGAACCCATTTGTATAAGAATAAGAGGTTCTTCTCCCAGGGTTACCCTTACACTATGAACTGTTTTTTCTCTACCTATTAGCAGTTAACTTTTACGTGAGAGGATTTTTTTTTTCCTTTTTAGAAAATGTTTTACAAGGCCAAGACCCCAACTATCACTGTTTATATTCTCTGTAAAGTTTTAACTATGAAAAAGGATTTATATTGGTCTTAAGCTGTAGCCAATCTGGTCTGCTTTACATAACTTTCTGTATGGTAAGTAGCAAACTTTGCTGCAGGCCTCCATCTTGTTTTACGTCCTTCAGAGCCAGACCTGTAACCACATGACAATGTTTTGTTCTAGCCTCTGCCATTTTACATTTGTGGCCCGGGGTTCGATCCTGGCTTAGGGAATGAGTCCTTTTTGGTTTGATACCTGTGCAACCTTTGCTATTTGTTGATTCTCTTCCCCTCCACGAAATGCCTTGGATTTTACTTTCTTTGAGCCTTTAGTAAAGTTTGAAAGCCAGAAATATTGGCCACTTGGGATGGCTAAAGTCAGGTAATAGGGGATTTAAAAGGATTTTCTTAAAGAACACTCAGCTTAATTAAAAGTAGATATCCAAGTTGTAGGCATAGGTAAAAGGTCTTTATGTTTTTCTCTTCTAGGACCTTGTTTTGTTGAAAAAAAAACGACTGAATTATTTTTCTCCATTTTTCCTTGCCACTCTCAATGCACACATGAGAAGGAAGAGACCTCTGTTTTCCTCATGGAACACCAGTAATTAAAAGCAAATAGATCCCTCTCAAAATCTGTTTTTGCCTCATTTATGCCTGTTTGTTAGGCCTTAGAAGCTGAATGTTTTCCTAGCCCTGTCTCTTAAAGGCTCCACCTGGAGACCATTAATTCAATTAGGAGACTGGCAAATGAAAGATCTTATGGCAATTGGGTTTTCTTCTGTCTATCTGTGTACATATATATGTGTTGTGTGTGTGATGTCTATAAAAAAGCTCTTTTTTTTATAGAGCTTTTTTTATAGACTGGCTGGGTGCAGCAGCTCAAGCCTGTAATCCTAGCACTTTGGGAAGCTGAGGCAGGTGGATCACCTGAGGTCAGGAGTTCAAGACCAGCCTGGCCAGCATGGTGAAACCCCATCTCTACTAAAAATACAAAAACTAGCTAGGTGTGGTGGGACATGCCTGTAATTCCAGCTACAAGGGAGGCTGAGGCGGGACAATCGCTTGAACATGGGAAGCGGAGGTTGCAGTGAGTCGAGATCATGCCACTGCACTCCAGCCTGGGCAACAGAGTGAAACTCCATCTCAAAAAAAAAAAAAAAAAAAGCTCTAATTAATTGGCCTAAAGGAAGATAAACACTTTGATCAAATGTTTTTTAAAAGGAAAATAAAAGCTGTAGTGCCTTTCAGTTCACGTGACTTTAATCTTTAAGAAATAAAAAACAGCCTTAAAGATTATTGGTAAAATACAGATGTCATCAAAATGTAAATAGGTAAACTAAATTATATAGGTCAGATATTAGGTTTGCTAAATGTTTTAAGGTTATAACCTGCCTTTTTTGGTTTTTGAGAACGATCTAACTTGATGGCTCCACATTTGGTAAAACCTGGCGACATAAGGAACTAACCATGCCCTTAATTATGCTGGAAGAAGTCAAACCTTGGCTGCACCAAGCAAATAATTAAAACAATTTACCAGGTTTTAAAGGTAAAATTGCTAAGAGTTACCATTATAATATGTAATTGAAACTATTGGAAATAGATTTACATGTGAGGTGTGTTATGATGTGTTTTTAATAAAAGATTATAAGAAGGTGTGGAAATGTAAATTTTTGCCTAGGGTCTAAGGATTGTTCTGAATTAGATAAGATAAAGCTAAAAGTTTAACAGAGCGAGACTCCATCTCAAAAAACAAACAAACAAAAAAAGCTAAAAGTTCAAACAAGTGATGGAAGGATTGTAAAAATTAATCTTCCAAAATAAATTCTCTGTGTTAACATATTGACTAACTTCAAAAAGGCATTATATGGTTTTTCTGTAAACTAAGCATTGAAATAAAAGCAGAAAAACGTACTCTTAAGGAACTAATCTGCTCTTTAGGAAAATTTGTAAAGGGTTATAAAAGATTTTTGTTTTTCAAATTTCTGAGTCATCATTTTGGCAAAATAAATAACTTACCTGGAATAATTTGGAATTCTATTTCATAACATCAAGTGTTTTAAACCTCTAACATATTTAACAGGCTTCCCAAAATCAAACTTCAGTTTCAAAATTGTCTTTCCTGATGCCTAGCTTTTGGATGCTGCAGAGAGTCCCTGGAGTATCCAAATGAGGGGTAAACAGAACACGTTTACTTACATGAGATTGCCAAAATGGTGTTCAATCTTCTTTAGGTTATATTTTGGTGACTACTACTAATATATGTTTCAAAACTGTATGGGATTCCAAAAATTCTAATGTCTAAAGTATATGCTATCCATCATAATTAAGGTTGTTATGTTAAGTTATTGTAAACCACAGAGATAATCAAACTACTTTGTCAATTGTGCTTCTAACTGTAACTACCCTGGACATTTTGTTATTCACAGACAATTGCTGTCTTGTTTTGATCCTTTTCAAAAAATGGCTTATAACAAGCTATAGGACTCTAACAGGTACTCTCAAATACAGGTTTCTAATAACTTTGGAGATTGTAACATTACAATACAGGAAAAACGTGCAGGACTCATGAAGAACTAAAATGTTGATGAATATCAAGCAAAATAAGAGTTAACTAAATGAACTGAACTCACCAAAAACTGAGGTAATCTTTTTAACTTTTGCTTGGAATATTGCTGATCCTTGTTTTGTTTTTTCATAGTCAAGGAAACTTATTTTGAACTATTTACAGTCTTTAATAAATGAGTATGGCACACTCCTGTGAAAAAAATTTGGAGCATATTTGTCTCTCTCTCTCTCTCTCTCTCTCTCTCTCTCTCTCCCTGGCTTCTCCAGAATTTGGAAACTAGTTGTAAGTGTTCTTAACTTATGGCAATATAGTTGTTTACATCAGTGCAATAAGAATCCATTTTCTTTTGCAACTGGATGCAACTGGAGAAATGTTGTTTTACCAAGGCTTAACTTGAAGGGTATGCTTCCCTTTAAGGAGTCAAGCTCGACTTGCAGAGCCAATAAAAGCCCCTTGGGAAAAATGGCCTCATACCCTTGTCTACACAGCTGCTGTAGAGGGTTCCTGACCTGTGATAAGTAAAGAATGTCACCTTCTACAGGCCCAGAGCTCCAAGTTTATTTTGAGACGTTAAGAGAGCAGGATCACCCAACTCACAGGCATTTGAGGATACAAACTGATGGCTGGGCTTGGCTTTAAAAGGTCTTATCTGGGATTTCTTGTGGAAGAGTTCCGTCCAAGCCAATCTAAAAGGCCTATGTAAAAATAATTAATCTTGCTGCACTTTAAACAAATAATCAGGCCAAGTATAAGACTAAGGTCTATTTTGCAAACAATTCAATCCTATCATGATTTGTTTTTTAACAAAAATAAGGACTGGCAGGGTGCGGTGGCTCACGCCTGTAATCCTAGCACTTTGGGAGGCCGAGGCAGGTGTATCACCTGAGGTCAGGAGTTCGAGACCAGCCTGGCCAACATGGTGAAACCCCGTCTTTACTAAAAATACAAAACTTACCAGGTGTGGAGGCAGGCGCCGGTAATCCCAGCTACTTGGGAGGGTGAGGCAGGAGAATCGCTTGTACCTGGGAGGTGGAGGTTGCAGTGAGCCAAGATAGCGCCATTGCACTCCAGCCTGGGGACAAGAGCGAGACTTTGTCTCAAAAAAAAAAAAAAAAAAAAAGACTGGAGAGAGATAAATTATATTTCAAGACTTATCATATATTTGTCATTAAATTCTACATTCCTTTGTTATTTTTAAGTGTTTGCCTACATTTTAGACTAACCCTGCTTGTTCCTGTGAACCAAACAGTAGTTTCCAGCTGCAGCTCAGAAAAAAACAAAAGGGATGGGTAATGTAGAAATCTGGATCAATATTATAGTTCTGAGCAATTATCCTGCCGGGTGATGGGAATAAACAGAATGCCCGTCACTCGGAGGTTTCCTTTTTGGAAAACTAAGAACAAGGGAGCTAACCAAAGACAAGAACTATGCACCCAAATCTTAGCAGGCATAACTATATCCACCAGTTATCTGGGGTGTCACAAGATATCCTTTTCTCCCTTGTTGGAGCAGGACTCAATTCCACAGCTTCACCATAGCATTCAGCTTAAGAAAAGGAGTCCGTGCAACACCCCCACCCCCCAAGACACATTTTTGTCTCAAACTCAATTCCAAGCTTTGGGTCAAAGCCCTAGGAAAGAAAACCGGATCTGATGGATCCAGAGGCAGATGATAACAGAAGTTAAAAGGCACAGCATAGGTTAGTGTGACTGATTCTTACTAAGCCAAGCTTCCCATTGCATAGATAAAGGTCACGCTACTATCCATGGCATAAATAAGGTCTAGGGAATTCAAAGGCTACTGACAGCAGGGGACATAAGGTGTACATGGGTAAGAGTGAATACTCCCACCCTGTAGCATGCCCCCCACCATCAACATCAGTGAAAGCTGCTTTGACACCCATGGGTGGCACCCTATCGTGGCTGGTGGGACTCGGGATCCAAGGACAGAGGAAAGAAAGAGGAACACCTCACTTTCCCTCCCTCAAATACTCCAGGTATTTGCTAGGAAGAGAAGGGAACCTGGGGCACCGTGCTCCTCTCTTTCTAGATAAGCAGCCATTCATCTTCACTCTGTAACCCTTTTGAATGCATCCTGAATCCCAGGACTCCTTTGGAAAAAAAAAGGCTTTCTTTTTCCTTTCTCCTCCTCTGTCCTCTCTTCACTGATAAGTAATCGTGTCTTTGTACTATGGGACACTCCCCTTGGATGCATCTTCCAAACTGGGAAAAGTTAATTTCCCAAACCTTAAATTGGTTGGCTTAGGATTGGGCTCAGGGGAAGGGAACCCAGAAGCCCAACATGCCAGCAAAGGGTAAAAGTTTGTTTTACTAGTCGGGCTTCTGCCCCCATCTCCCTGCACTAACTAGTAAAAGGTCTCGAGATTTTTTAGCTGTCCTCACACCCTCCCCACTTATTTTGTTTTGATACATGTTTTCTAATAACCCAGTTGTCTCTTCTTGCCTTCAGGCCATCACACTCCAAATGGTCATGCAACCGAAGCCTCAGATGATGGCCCCTTTTGATGGGACCCTTAGACAGGCCTCTCAGGGAGATCTGACTGCCATTTTCCCAAAACAGCACACCCTGTCAGCAGGAAGCAGTTAAGATTAATCTTCCTCCTTATCCTTATGGCAGTTAGATATATACTTCTTTAGAGGAGAAAATGATAGAGACAGGAGGAAGCCAAGTGTCCCCAGGCAAAACCCCTCCTTCAAGCCTAAAACAGTCTGAAGGCTGAAAAACCAGACTGCCCATCCTGGATGAAGCCTGCCCTTTCCCAGCTGATTCTTTCTGAATAATACCCATCTGCACACTGAGAGGATGGGGTGGGGCCTCAGGAAGTTTGTGCCATTTGCAGCGGGGAGGAGCCTGGTCTCTCTTGTCCCTGGGTGGTGACCTGGGATTCAATCTGTGAGGCAAGAAACCTGCTAGCAGGATTCTGTCTCACTTTGCTGAGAGTTATTTTTCCCTTTTTCCTTTTCGCCCAATAAATTACGTTTTCCTCACCCTTGTACGTGCCTGCAAGCCTAATCTTTCCCATTCGTGTGACAAGAGCCCAGTTTTAGCTGAACTAAGGAGAAAGTTTTGCAACAATATCACTACACACATGAAAAGGAAATGTGGTCTAAGAAATATACTTGGTCTCTGTCCAAAGTTCTGAAACTGCCACTGCAAAATTACAGCTAAGACAGTGAAAGAGATCTGACCTAAACAAACCATCTTGCTTCTAACCTCCAAGCTGTCCTTTTTCATTCCTGGGCATAGACTGAACTGACTTTGAGAAGAACTTACTTTACAGCTTAAAAAACATGAAAACAGCCCTTTCCTTTCCCAAAACAAACCTCCTTCTTGCCTGGGGACTAGACTGTCTTTGTAAGACTAACAAATTAGCCACAAGATTAGAAATTAAGGTTTAGGAGGCATGCAGCTGGAGGCCACAAGATTCTGACCCTCCTTAAACTGTTCCTAAGATCAGTGCTTGAGATATTTTGCAGACCCTGCACTTGATGGATCAGCTGACACCACCCAGATAGATTAACTGGCTCATCTGATCTTGTGGCCCTGGCCCAGGAATTGACTCAGTGCAAGAGGACAGCTTCAATTCCCCATGATTTCATCTCTGACCCAACTAATCAGCACTCTTGACTCACTGGACTTCCCCCACCCACCAAATTATCCTAAAAATCTCTGATCCCCAAATGCTTGGGGAGACTGATTTGAGTAATAAAACTCTGGGCTCAAGCATAGCTGGCTCTGCATGAATTACTCTTTCTCTATTGCAATTCCAGTGTCTTGATAAATCAGCTCTGTCTAGGCAGTGGGGGAAGGGGAACCCATTAGGGTGTTACAGTTCCTCACACACAGTTCCTAAAATCCTTGGAGTTTCCTGAGTGATATCAGCATCTTTTGTTATTCACAGCAAGTTCCTTTTGATCATACCTGAATTTAGTGAAGTGACTTAGGGTGAGACACCCACAAAGCCTTAGGATAAGGCTGGTCAAAAGATCACCAAGTAATTAGTTGGAACTTTTGCACACACACCAACCTCCAGGAAGCGGGTGAGGCCTGGAGATTAAGCTCTATAAAACTCTATAAAGCTCCTAAACAATAAGATTGAATGAGTTTCCAGGTTGGTGAACACACTGAGGTCTAGGATGATCAGGAGAGCATGCATGCCCAGAGAGGGCATGGAAGCTCTGCAAACCATCCTCTTCCCTACCTTGGAATATTTGCATTGTACTTACCAACTGAGCACCCCTAATCTGAAAATCCAAAGTCCAAAATGCTCCAATTAGCATTTCTTTTGAGCACCATATCACAGCTCAAAAAGTTTCAAATCTTGGAACATTACAAATTCTGGATTTTTAGATTTCAGATGCTAAATCTGTATTTCTTATAACTGCATGTAAATCTATAATTATTAATATCTCAAAATTAAAAGTTTAATTTCAAATTTTTAAAAACAAATTTTCAGCTTTAAAAAATGCTTAGAAATAAACTTATGAAAAATATAGGCAAAACCTAGAGTTAAAATCAGTATCATAAAGATGTCAATTCTCCCTGAGATAATTGGTAAGATAAAGGCAGTTCCAATAAAAAATACCAAGAAGCTTTTTTAGGGAGCTAGATAAACTGATACTAAAGTTCCTATGAAAAAACAAACAGGAAGAAATATTCTCTAAAACAATGAAAAAGAGAAGCTAAGATAGGGGAAGAAGAGAAGTATCAGACATTAAAACATATCATAAAGCGTCTACAATAAAGGAATGATAACAATACAGAAACAGAAACAGACCAGCAGATGGATAAACTTTTTAAAATAGGGCTGGGGGCACATAGCTAGTCATTTGGATGGATGAAATTAAATCCACATTTCAAAACATACACTAAAATAAACTCCAAATAGATTGAGAATTTAAATGTAAAAAAATAAAGATGAGACAAGTATTTTAAGAAACAAGGGGTTTCTCTACATCCTGGTTGTAGGGAGAAGCTTTTAACTGTGATTCAAAGATCTAGATGTAATTTTTAAAAATTGATAATTTTAACTAAAAACTTTTGAATGGTAAAAAAATAAAATAGGAAGAAAATATAGGCAACACAGGTCATAGGTAACAGACTAGTATTCCTAATATAACAAAGTCTTATAAATTGAACCCAAAAAGTCAAGCACCTAATAGAAGAAAAGGGTCTGTCAGCTAAAGATATGAGTATACTACTCACTAATAAGTATATTAGTAAACCAGTAAACATATGAAAACATAGTCAATCTCATTTATAATTAAAGAAACACAAAACTATTCTGAGATATATTTCTCACCTAATATATTGGCAAAAATTAAAAACTATGAAACTTTTCAAAGTCATTCTGTTAGAGGTGCTGTGGGGAAAACAGACATATTTACATGTTGTTGGTGAAGACACAAACTGCTTTTGGAGGGTGGTTTATTTGGTACTATCCATTCATACCTTTGACCCAGCAATCCCACTTCTAGGTATTTACACTGAAAGTACACCTCCAATAATATGAAAATACATAGGCACAAATTAGTCACTCTCTACTGGCTGTAATTTCAAAATAATGGAAACTGCGTACTTGTCATTATATAACAAAGTGATTAAGTAAATTACAGTACAACCACATGACAAGTTTCATGCAGCTGTAAAAAAGAATGAGGAGGACTTCTATGAACTTCCATAGAGTTACCTTCCTCATAAATTGTTAAATAAAGTACAGAAAAAAAATTACTAGAAAGCTACCCTTTG
This sequence comes from Homo sapiens, assembly GCF_000001405.40. Lineage (NCBI taxonomy): Eukaryota > Metazoa > Chordata > Mammalia > Primates > Hominidae > Homo > Homo sapiens. Next base: position 176,105,059 of record NC_000001.11, read on the forward strand.
TGAAAGAGAGTAAAAATAAGAAAATGTGCATATGTATCTGTAAATCTGACTAATAAAATTGGTGACCTAAAGAAGGTAAGTAGAAATGGAGTAGAAAAGATGGAGGTAGGGAAATTGGTAGAAAAGCTGAAAGGGTAGCCGTTATTGATTATAACTTTTTATACAGCTCTGATTTTTAGAATCAGGGTAATATTTTACATATTCAAAAAGGATATATATAATAAGGATGGAAAGTGGGGTGAAATACAAATAGAAGTAAATGAACCTAACTGTATTTCAAAGAAATATCACAACGAAAATTGAAGAAAATTAAACAAATCCAAATAACCTTTGAATATACTATATTTTCAGTATATATTCTCAGGCTAAAGACAAACGGAATTTCAAAGAAATATCTCTAGTTACATTGGTTTTCTCAGCAATTTTCATGCTAACTTTTGTATATATATTCTAAGACCATGCAAATAAGTAAGTGTATTTTGATCGTGACAGCTAGGTTTCCATCAGAAAAGGAAATTATAAATATAGAAAGGACAAATGCCAGAATGAACCCTAAACATGGTAGAATAGCATGGATTGACCTCAGCTTGTATGGACTGACCACTGACCCTTGCCTATGCTATAGAATATATTAACTAAAGATAAATAATTTTCTGTAATCATGAGTCAGGGAGTTGTTTTGGCGCAAAACACATCAGTTGGTCAGCATTGTTTAGTAATAATAATTGAATTCATGATTTTCATGATTTGCACCTGATTTCAGTAGTATCTATTAAAGCTGGTCACATAACCAAAATGTATGCATCTAAGTGACTGAAACCACCTTTGCAAAATTATGACTAAGACAGTGAAAGAGATCTAACCTAACTGACTCCATCTTACTTCTAACCTCCAAGCTGTCCTTGTTCATTACTGGGCACAGGCTTAACTAACTTTGGGAGGAACTTAGTTTACAGGTTTGTTTTGTTTTTTGTTTTGTTTTGTTTTTTTGAGACAGAGTCTCGCTCTGCTGCCCAGGCTGGACTGTGGTGGCGTGTGCTCAGCTCACTGCAGCTCCTTCCTCATGGGTTCAAGTGATTCTTCTGCCTCAGCATCCTGAGTAGCTGGGATTACAGGCATACATCACCACACCCTGCTAATTTTTGTATTTTTTGTAGAGACGAGGTTTCTCCATGTCGGCCAGGCTGGTCTTGAACTTCTGACCTCAGGTGGTCCATCCACCTTGACCTCCCAAAGTGCTGGGATTACAGGTGTGGGCCACTGTGCCCAGCCAATTTACAGGTTACAGCTTAAAACAAAGACCATAACAGCCCTTTCCCCAAAACAAACCTCCTTCTTGCCTGGCAACTAGACAACTAACACTGGCCACAAGATCAGAAATTATAGTTTATAAGTTTATAAGTTAGGCAGCTGGAGGCTACAAGATTCTGACCTTCCCTAAACTGCTCTTAAGATCAGTGCTTGAGATATTTTGCAGACCCTGCACTTGACAGATCAGCTGGCAACACCCAGATTGATTAACTGGCCCATCTGATATTATGCCCCCACCCAGCAATTGACCCAGTGCAAGAGGACAGCTTCAATTCCCTATTATTTCATCTCCTACCTAACCAATCAGGCACTCCTGGCTCATTGGCTTCCCCCAACCCACCAAGTTGTCCTTAAAAATTCTTATCCCCAAATGCTCGGGGAGACTGATTTGAGTAACAGCACAGCGGCTCTGCATGAATTACTTTATCGCAATTCCTCTGTCTTGATAAATTGACTCTGTCTAGGCAGCAGGCAAGGTGAATCCATTGAGTGGTTACATGACTAGCTCACAATTAGAGACTCCAACCAAAAGCTGACTTTGGATCTCCTGGCATTCAGGTGCTTCAAACCCAAGCCAGTAGTGATTCTAAATCTGGTGACAAAGCAATTCCGGTGCAACCTAGCAGTGGAAGGACAAAGAATATTGTGACTGAATTCTCTGGATCCCTTTCAATAAATACACTACTGCTGCTGGGCTGTTCTGTATATCCATTGCCTGTAATCACACTGTTCCAGAAATATAAATGGTTTGATTCCTGGGAGTCCTTCAGTAATCAAACACAGTGATTAATATGTAATTAATGCATATATATTATGGATATAAATATATAACAATGTATATTAATACATATGAATACATATATTTCCTAGCTCTGTCCACTGAGAAAGCTTGCAAGCAATGATACTCCAAGAACAATGAGCATACTTAAGATTTTTGGTTTTAAAATATATTTCTCCACTAAAAGAAAAGAGGTTTCTTGGATACAAGACTATTCCAGGACTGGAGCAAGGTCAGTACGGAATGAAGCTGGAACATTATTGTCTAAGAAAGTACTTATAAAGAATGATAGAAATATGTCAAAAGGATACAGAAGTCAGTATGAAGGAGCTCCAACTAGCCAAATACAAGATGATTTGAGTTTCAAAATTAGTAACAGAATATATATATTAATGACCCAGGATTCCACAACAATATAAACATACAAAGAGAAGGACTAACTAATAAATGTGGAAGATATAAAAACTCAGAAAATCATCATTTGGACAACTAACACATTAACAATTATTATTATAAGTAAGATACAATGATAGATGCTCAAAGGGAAGAAACTTTACAGCAGTGAAATCTGGCAGCCACCATTTTAATCGAGTGATCAAAGTTAACATCACCAGCACTGAGACAAATAGATACCATATGCCTCCAGATATGACAAACTAAGGAGGACAAAATAGGACTACTATAGTATTCCTGACGAAAATAGATAATCTGAATCTTAAGCATAAGGAAACACAAGACAAATTCAAACTGAGGGAAATCCTATAAATAACTTACACTCTTCAAGAATGTTGATGTCATAAACTGAAGAACTGTACCAATTTAGAGGAGATTAAAGAGACATGACAAATAAATGCAACAAGTCATTCAGAATTGGTCCTGGACCAGATTTTTTTTTTTTTCTATAAAGGACATTAGTGAATACACTGCTGAAATTTAATTTGTAAAAAATTAAAAAGTAAAAATTTTAGGTTTTCTGAGATACATCAATTTTTTAATTTTGCTAATTGTACTATGGTTATATAAAAATTCTAAAGCAAAATCAATAGGCAATTACAAAAGTTCAGAAATATAACTCTATAAAGTTCATACATTTCTGGCTTCACTTATATTGTTAGCATTTTTTTCAATTCAACTACTAAATATTATTTTTAAGAGCAGTAAAGTAATCCATCCTATAGTTGTAGCACTATTTCTGTAACTATTCTATTATGGCTGGGCATGTTTATTTTTCCAGAATTTTTGCACATATGATTAATACCAGTATACAATCTTTACATAGTACTTAGAATCATTCCTTGAAATAAATTTGTGTATAATTACCAAATCAAACTATTTTAGCATTGATCACATGTATATACTGCCAAATTATCTTCCTGGACGACTATCAACTCAACTACCACTCTCCCTTCCTCCACCTACCCTTCCCCAATATGCACATGGTTGAGCACATACACTCATTGCAAGTAATAGTAATTCCATTTTGGAACATCCCTTTGATTTTAGCCATAACTATCAGATGATTTCTTTGGTATCTAGTATTATTCTATATTTTGCTTTTATTTATTTGCAAAAATTGAGTATTATTTCATGTGAGCTGAATGTGTGAATTTTTGTCTTTTAAAAATATTGATGTCCTGAACCATTTTCTTACTCTATTTGGAGCTTTCATTAAAAAGATAAAATTGGCCTGGAGCGGTGGCTCATGCCTCTAATCCCAGCACTTTGGGAGGCAGAGGCAGGCAGATCACGAGGTCAAGAGATCGAAACCATCCTGTCCAACATGGTGAAACCCCTTCTCTACTAAAAATATAAAAATTAGCTGGGCGCGGTGGTGCGCACCTGCAGTCTCAGCTACTCGGGAGGCTGAGGCTGGAGAATCGCTTGAACCCGGGAGGTGGAGGTTGCAGTGAGCTGAGATCACGTCACTGCACTCCAGCCTGGCGACAGAGTGAGACTCTGTCTCAAAAAAATAATAAAATAAATAAAATTATCAAAATTTTTAATATTTTGAAGCAATTAAGCCATTTACTTGCCCTAATTATGACGCCTTTCTCAATTTGGGTTTAAATTTTGTTTGTGGTGCTTTCTTATATGTAGGGTAGACTTCTTTCTTCATTTCTATAGTTCTATTGCTGTTTAAATTATTGTTTAGCTGAACTGAACTCTTTCAGTAAGTGAAAACAAGCTAAATTTCCTTCAAATAGTTTCCCATTTGTCCCAACACCATGCATTTAATCTCTCCTTTCACCACTGATCTACATGACCACCTTTATCACAGACTATTAATTACTTTTTGGTAGATTTTAAATTTTTATTCTGCTTCTTTTGTTACAGCAGTCTTAGAGTACATTTTAATAGTTGATGAGGTAAATTCATCATTAACTTCTGAATAATTCATTGTACTAATGAACTTTACAATGTTAATTGGCCACATTCTACACACCCTTAAAAAAAACTACTGGGATTTCTTTTAAATTGGAATCTAATTAAATTAGTAATTATGGTTACTGGTCTATCCCAATTGTCCTAAAATTAATCTGAACTATTTTAATATTTTACATTCTTCTTTAAAATTACATGTCATTAAGAATGTGATTTTTATTAGTATGCATCAACACTGTCTTAGTTATTTTAATGTACTCAGTATCATGATAATAGCTAATTTCAATTTATGTTGTATATGGGCTTTTTTTTGGTCTTTCTATATTTACCATCTAGTGATAATGTAGCCTCTTGGATAAATAATAAGTTCATTTATTTTCATTCTTATCTAAAAATGAAAGCATTCAAGACTATGAATGTTTAGTACAATTCTGACCACATTCCAGAAATTTTTGATAAATAATGTTTCCACTAGCGGTATTTTTTGAGTGCACTGATTTTTTAACACACAGGTACTCAGAGGAGTCTTCATTTACTCTTTTCTAGACTGCCTGTCTGTCTCTATCTGTTTATTTGGGGCTCTAATTCACACAATGCAGACGATACTATTTATCTTGTCTTAGATTCAACCAATTTTTCGAAATTCTCCAAGGATTACAATAAATAACATATATCCTTTGATGCAAAGTATATAGGGAGACAAGTACCTATTAAGCCATGCTTAACTCATTTCACTCAAAAAATCTAAACTCCTTCTAACAGCCTAAGAAAGCCATACATGAAATGTAGCCTCTGTTAAGTTCTTTTACCTCATCTTCTATTTTTATCTCCCTTGTTCACTTGTCTCCAGCTACACTGGACTTCTGAACTATGTAAGGCATTCTCCACCTCAGGGATTATTTACTTCTTGTTCTCTGCCTAGGAAGTTTTCCCAGGGACATTCGTAGACATATCTCTGCTTCCTCATATCCTGGTCATTCAAAAGTCATCTATACTTTTGCTATAAATATCTTACCAACTAGATTGGAAACTTCATTATAGCAAGGATTACTATCTGTTTTGCTTTTGTCCAGTGAGGTGTCCTCAGAGCCTAGTAAATATGAGGTATGTTTAAAACAAAAAACAAAAAAACAAAACAACAAAAAAAGATGACAACAACCACAAAACCCCAAAAACCTGCTGGTTGAATAAATGAGTATTTAAAAGCAAAGACTCTGAAGCCATAATGTCTGGGTTAAAATCTCAGCTCCCTCCTCTTACTAGCTATATTATCTGAGTCAACCTCCATAACTTCTCTGTGTATCAGTTTCCTTCTCAATAAAAAATAGTAATAGAATTTATCAGCAGGGCGCAGTGGCTCATGCCTGTAATCCCAGCACTTTGGGAGGCTGAGGCATGCAGATCATGAGATCAAGGGATCGAGACCATCCTGGCCAACATGGTGAAACCCCGTCTCTACTAAAAATACAAAAATTAGCTGGGTGTGGTGGTGTGTACCAGTAGCCCCAGCTACTTGGGAGGCTGAGGCAGGAGAATCACCTGAACCCGGGAGGCGGAGGTTGCAGTAAGCTGAGATGGCGCCACTGCACTCCAGCCTGGACAACAGAGCGAGACCTTGTCTCAAAAAATAAAAATAATAATAATAACAGTATTTATCTCACAGAGTAGCTCTGAAAGTTAGTTAATAAATATGAATAGTTCAAACACTGTCTATGAAAAGTAACTGCAAAATAAATGCTACCTAATTATTTAATTTATTTTTATTTATTTTTTGTGTGTGTGTGAGATGGAGTCTCGCTCTGTTGCCAGGCTGGAGTGCAATGGCATGATCTTGGCTCACTGCAACCACTACCTCCTGGGTTCAAGCAATTCTCCTGCCTCAGCCTCCTGAGCAGCTGGGACTACAGGTGCGCACCACCATGCTCAGCTAATTTTTTGTATTTTTAGTAGAGACGGGGTTTCACCGTGTTGGCCAGGATGGTTTCGATCTCTTGACCTTGCGATCCACCTGCCTTGGCCTCCCAAAGTGCTGGGATTACAGGCGTGAGCCACCACACCCAGCCCCTAAGTATTTAATTTCTAACAGATTTTGCTTTACATAAATTCCAATCCTTAATGATACTAAGTTTTACTACTTTTGGAAAGTATACATTTTATTTATACGAAAAAAACTGTCTATTTTGTTCATACTTTTGGGTTTTTTTCAGTTTTACAGTATTCTTTAGTTTGCATTTGCCAGGCTTATACTCGACTATCCACTATTTCAATTGTTTTTGTCTCCATTTATGTTAGGTCTAGCTATTATCTGGAGCACAGCTAGAAATGAAGGGTAAGGCCTTCAGTGCAATGTATCATGTCAGCTCCATCTCAACACTAGTAGGGTTTCCTCCTCAACAACCAGCCAGTGCTCTAACAGATGCTAAGAATTCTCCTGGCAGACCTGTTATTTAATCCTTAAGCACACATGTACCATGCATACAGTGAATCAGAGATTAGTCAGCTCTTCTTCCATAAGTATTTTCTCTTTTAATCATCTATAAATTATTCTAAGTTGTGGGTGTGAGGAGAGCAATATAGCAATAGGATTTCTTGTGGGAGGGGATGAGAAGATATTTACGTACTGTCTCAGTGCACTATCTCAAACCAAAAGTCTCCTTCACCACATAAAAGTAAGTGCTACTCTAAAATATTTCCAAAAAAAAAAAAAATTCTGATTGTTTTTCTTTTTCCTCCAGATTCAAGTTTTTTTTTTAAATCTTGATTCAAGGATCTACATTTTTTTTAAATTTTATTATTATTATACTTTAAGTTTTAGGGTACATGTGCACAACGTGCAGGTTTGTTACGTATATATACATGTGCCATGTTGGTGTGCTGCACCCATTCAATTTCTTTTTAGAAAAGTTGCTATATCATGGTTGTGCATATCTGTGGGGGGTACATGTAATATTTTGATAGACGTATACAATGTGTAATAATCAATTAGGGTAACTGGTATTTCTATCATGTCAAACATTTATCATTTGTGTTGGAAACACTGCAACTCTTCTCTTCTAGCTATTCTGAAATATACAATAAAGTAATAACTATAATTTCCCTACTGTATTATCAAATGCTACAACTCATTCACCTAATCTAACTGTATTTTTGTACCCATTAAGCAAGTTCTCTCCATTCCCCCTCCTTGCCTTTCCCTTCTCTGCCTACTACCTCCATTCCACTCTCTGCCTCCATGAGATCCACTTTTTTTTGGCTCCCATTTAAGAATGACAATATGTGATGTTTGTTTGTCTTTCAGTTCCTGGCTCATTTCACCTAATATAATGACCTCCAGTTCCATCCATGTTGCTGCAAATGACAGGATTTCATTCTTTTTTACGGCTGAATAATATTCCAATGTGTATATACACCACATTTTCTTTATCCTTTCATCTGCTGATGGACACTTAGGTTGATTCCAAATATTGGCTATTGTGAATAGTGCTGCAATTAACATGGGAGTGCAGGTATCTCTTCCTTTCTTTTGGATATATAGCCAGCAGTGGGGTTGTTGGAACATATGACAGTTCTATTTTTAGTTTTCTGAGGAACCTCCATACTCTTTTTCATAATGGCTGTACGACTTTACATTCTCATCAGTATAGGGGCATTCACTCTTTCTCCACGTCCTTTCTAACATTTGTTACTTCTATCTTCTTGATAATACCATTCTAACTATGGTGAGATGATATCTCATTGTGGTTTTGACTTCCACTTCCCTGATGGTTAGTGATAAGTATTTTTACATATACCTATTGACCACTTGTATATCTTCTTTTGAAAATGTCTATTTAGAGTTTTTGTCAATTTTTAAATTGGATTATTATTTGTTGCAATCAAACTGTTTGAGTCCATTATATATTCTGGTTATTAATCCCTTGTCGGATAGATAATCTGCCAACATTTTCTCACATTCTGAAGGCTGTATTCAGATTCAGTTTCTACTGGTTTCTAGCTCATAGGATTTGCTAGAAATTTCAAAGTAGTGTTAATATAAATGGTAACTGTGGAAACCTTTTCTTGTTCCCCTATATAAAGTTTGGTCAAAGTCCTCCAGCCAAAGACCAATTAAAAAAACACCTGTAGTTAAATAAATTTTATTTATTGCTAGCAGCAATAAATATGAATAAGTGAGAGATGGCTCAGTAAGACAGTGTTAGAAACAACTTAAAGGATTAAGGCACTTGTTAAATAATTTGTGGGAGAGTTCAAGAAAGTGGGGCTTCACTGTGGATTGGATACTGTCAAGTGGGAATGATTCTATAATTCAGTAACTTATGTAATGATAAATCTTATCTAGGAGCACAGAAGACTACAGGGAGGCTAAAGTTTTAACCAGTAAAGAAGCAGCAACCATTCACATTGGTCAGGGTAGGGTTTTTTTTTTTTTTTATAGTTTGCACAGTGACCTTGTTTTTTAAACGTGGCTAGACAACTTTATGGAGTGATCTTGCTTTTTGTTTCGCTTCATCAGTCACAGGGAGTAGCCTTGTCTGATGTTGATGTTCTGTGAAATTATATTCAGAAGGAGAACATAAATGGCTAGCTATAAATGCCAAGCCAGTTTCCAGATACAGGGACTGCTATTCTCTCTCAAGTTCCTACGGTATATTTCAATTTAAGGCTTTAAATTTTCTCCTAATGTATTCCATTATGTCTTACAAAAAGACTTGAATCTGGTATTTTCATGACCGTTCAGAAACAGATACAAACCAATCTACAAACTTACTACAAAAAAAGAATAGGCCAAATGCATGCATTGTACATGAATATAATACAGGATGATGTACAGAGTAGTCACATAAACTAATCATAAAAGTAACAAGGTAGTCATCCAAGTTTGGAGACAAGAAAAAGAAAAACAGAAGTGATATAATCCAAAAGGATTTATTGTTCACTTAGATAAAAATAGGTGTACTATTTTTTCAAATAAAGTGAATATACAAATAAATGTTCATTAAAAACACCTCATTGTTTTTTGTTTTACTATAAAGGATATTAGGGTAATTCTTTTTTTTGCGGGGGGAGGGAGTGGGGGGGAAAGGGTCTCACTCTGTCACCCAGGCTGGAGTACACTGGCATGATCTCAGCTGACTATAACCACGGCCTCCTGGGTTCAAGGTATCCTCCCACCTTAGCCTCCCAAGTAGCTGAAACCACAAGCACATGCCACCATACCCAACTAATTTTTTTGTTTTTTGTAGAGGCGGGGTCTCACCATGTTGCCCAGGCTATATTAGGGTAATTCTTAAAATCTGAAAATCTAGAATTTATAAATAATACTTTATCAATATTAACTGCTTGAATTTTAAAGTTATATTGTGATTACATAAGACAATATCCTTGTTCCTAATGAAATACATGCTGAAGTATTTAAGGGTAAAGAAACATATGTGGGTACCTTACTCAAACAATCCAGAAAAGAAATTATACGCATATATAGGTAAAAGAAAGGCTGAATGAGAATGATAAAACAAATGTGATAAAATGTTAAGTGCTTAGACAATCTGGATGTAAACTATAAAGGAATTCTTTTTAGTATTTTCGTAATTTTTCTCTAAGTCAAAACTTATTTCAATACAAAGAGTTAAAAAACGTGGCCGGGAGTGGTGGCTCACGCCTGTAATCCCAGCACTCTGGGAGGCCAAGGTGGGTAGATCACCTGAGATCAGGAGTTTGAGACCAGCCTGGCCAACATGGTGAAACCCCCATCTCTACTAAAAATACAAAAATTACCCAGACGCGGTGGCACACGCTTGTAGTCCCAGCCACTCGGGAGGCTGAGGCTGGAGAATCGCTTGAACCCAGAAGGCAGAGGTTGCAGTGAGCCAAGATCACACCACTGCACTCCAGCCTGGGCAGGAGCGGGACTCTGTCTCAAAAAGAAAAATAAAAAATGGCTGAGCACGCTGGCTCACGCCTGTAATGCCAGCACTTGGAGAGGTCAAGGGGGGAGGATCACGAGGTCAAGAGATGGAGACCTTCCTGGCTAACATGGTGAAACCCCGTTTCTACTAAAACTACAAAAAAATTAGCTGGGCGTGGTGGCGCGTGCCTGTAGTCCCGACTACTTGGGAGGCTGAGGCAGGAGAATCACTTGAACCCAGGAGGAGGTTGCAGTGAGCCGAGATCGTACCACTGCACTCCAGCCTGGAGACAGTGAGATTCTGTTTCAAAAAAATAAAATAAAATAAAATATAAAAATAAAAAGTCGAAAAAAGCCTATTAGGCCTCAAAAATAAGCTTGACAGATATCAGTATCTCCAAGCCAAAGATGAAGAGAGTAAAGGTTAAAATACTCATACAACTAATTCAAAGAAGTCAAGCTGATTATCTATTTTACTCAAGACTGTGGTCTTTATTCCATGGAAAAGCTGTTAAGTTTCAACGTAATGAAGCGTAATTCAATGACAGATTTATAATTTTCATTATCTCTAAGATAAACTATGTTCTGATTATTCATAATTTTTTTCCTAAAGTATTTCCTTCCTCTCAGGTTCTGAAATTAACAGTAAGTTTTAAAAAACTGCCAGGGATAGTGATTTTCACCTGTAATCCTACCACTGTGGGAGGGTGAGGCAGACAGATCGCTTGAGTCCAGGAGTTTGAGACCAGCCTGGACAACACGGTGAAATCCATCTAGATCTACAGTAAGTACAAAAATTAGCTGGGCATGGTGGTGCACTTCCATAGGGCCAGCTACTTGACAGGCTGAGGTAGGAGAATTGCTTGAGCCTAGGAGGTCAAGGCTACAGCATTCCAGCCTGCGTGACAGAGTGTCTCAAAAAAACAAAAACAAAAACAAAGCAAAACACTTTAGATTTGTTCCATCACAACTTGGTGAAGAAAATAAATTTAAGTTCTTATCATTGAAAAAGCAAATATTAATATTTGATTCTACCATTATGCATAAGAGCTATTCAAGTGCTAATCAACACCACTGCATTCAAAATGGTTGTCTTTGTGACAGGACATTTTAGTAAACTAATCTATGATTTTATAACTCAGATAATTATACTCATGGTATCATTAAAGCAAACAAAGATATCGTTTACCTGAGAACTGCCACTGAAACCTGGAGGTTGGCTGTATTCTGTGGAATCAATAATACTACTGCAAAATGAAGAGAAAAAAATGTGATTTCAGTATTTACATTATTTTAACAACAGAAAAAGTAAATCTAAAGTATATCATATATAAGCCCAGTATTTCTAATTTCTAAGCCAAGAAAATATTTATTGCCAATCATTAGACATCAAATAGACAACCCATAAAATATCAGCAAATATTTAAGCAATTTACCACTTCAACCCACCACCTCAAACATATAAACCAAGAAATAATGTCAATAGGGGATAATCACAAGGCAGATGTCTATATAGATTTACTTGTTTATATTTCATTTTCAGACAGGTTAAGGTTTGGAGAACTTTAAGGAAAAGAAAATTTACACTATTGGGAAAAGAGCACAAGCATGCAATCAAAATCTATGGTTAACACACCCTGCTATGCCATTAAAAAGCTATGTGTTCTTGGACAATTAACTTATAATCAATTACTCAAGTTTCCTCATCTGTAAAAATGAGGTGATGTAGGCTAGCTATTTATATATCATCTAGAGTCCCTCCCAGCTTCAAAATATTATAATCAAACCTCATGTGAAAAACTGAACTATCAAAAGAATAAAATAAATGGTAAAATAACAATAATCTTGTCTTTGTAACCCAAAACCAATATACTAGTTTCCTCTGCTCTGGTCAAACATAATCTGCTTTCTCCATTGGTTCTTTTTATTTGGTTATATCCTCTATTCATTCTATCTAACCCTAAAAAAACCTCCAGAAGTGTAGACTATCTTTTACTTCCTCTATCTTAGCATTTCTATCTTACCATTTCATCATTCCTATCTCCCTCTCATCTTTAAATAAGCCTTACATAAAAAACTATCAACAACTGAAAATCACATGACATACATACCAACCGTATAAACGATTATTTACTTTTTGTAAATTCTTCTTCTCTATTTCTACTATAAACATGCTTAGGCTAGGCACGGTCGCTCACGCCTGTAATCCCAGCACTTTGGGAGGCCAAGGCGGGCGGATCACCTGAGGTCAGGAGTTCGAGACCAGCCTGACCAACATGGTGAAACCCTGTCTCTACTAAAAGTAAAAAAATTAGCTGGGTGTGATGGCAAGCTCCTGTAATCCTAGCTACTTGGGAGGCTGAGGCAGGAGAATCACTTGAACTTGTGAGACGGAGGTTGCAGTGAGCTGAGATCACACCATTGCACTCCAGCCTGGGCAACAGAGCAAGACTCTGTCTCGAAAAACAAACAAACAAACAAACAAAAAACCAACAAAAAAGTTTATATTCTTTCTACCCTATAAAATTTAAGCAATTGAGATTACTAATTAGAATGGTTCTATATGTAAACATACAAAATGATTAATTACTTAGTACTGAAAGAACCTCAAAGGTTAAAGCATGGGAGGTACTCTAAGTAGTACACAGTTTGAATTTTACCCATAGAAGTGAATAACCTGACTCTGGGCAAGTGATTAATCTTATTTGAGCTCTAGCTTCTCCATCTATTAAATGATGAAGACACATCAGAGAAGTATGAGATTTAAATAAGATAATGCATGTGAAGTTCACAGTATGATGCCAAAATATGGTAAACATTCAATAAACTTTAGTTTCTTTTATTAACAAAATTAGTTAACATAAAACTTCACATTTTCAAAAATAAATCATATGAATCTGTCTACACAGCAGTCTTTTTTTTTTAAGGCATAGTTAATGGGTACAAACATAAAATTACACGAAAGAAAGAAGTTCTAAGGTTTGACAGAAGATTACAGTGACTATAGTTAACAACAATGTATTTATATTTCAAAATAGCTAGAAGAGGCCAGGCATGGTGGCTCATGCTTATAATCCTAGCACTTTGGGAGGCCAAGGTGGGAGGGTCACTGGAGCCTAGGAGTTTAAGACCAGCCCGGACAAAATAGTAAGACTCCGTTTTCTACATATAATTAGCTGTGTGTGGTGGTGGACGCCTGGGGTTCCAGCTACTCAGGAGGGTGAGGTAGGAAGATCACTTAATCTCAAATGGTCAAGGCTGCAATGAGCTATGCATCGCTGCATTCCAGCCTGGGCAAGAGAGAGGCCCTGTCTCAAACAAACAAACAAACAAACAAAAAAACAAAAACAAAAACAAAATAGCCAGAAGAAATGATAAATGCTCAAGGTGATGGGATAACCCCCAAATACTCTGACTTGATCATTACACATTCTATGCATGTAAAAAATATCACAAGTACCCTCATAAACATGTACAAAATATTACGTATCAATGAAAAAATAAAGAAATAAAGTTAGATGAGTGCCAAAAAATGCAGCACACAAAAAACAAAAACCTTGTTTCTTAACAATTCCTATAGCAAAACTCAATTATAAAAGAGCCTTTGAAGAACTTAACCATATAAAGAATTCAAATGTTCTTGTCATGAGTTTATTCTGATAAAATGTAACCATTACTTGCCTTTCCTATAGAGTTACACACTGGTATGACAAGATTGCATGCTATTTTCAGTTTACTCCATCCAGAGACTAAGAGGACTGAAAGTGAGGCAATGCAATGCATTAAAAATCTCTGTTCTTCCTACTAATGAAACTCAATCCCTTAGTGTTTGTATAACACTAATAAAATTGTGTAGTTGCATATTTAGAGGCCTATAGAACAGAACATTTCCAGCTATGCATTTTTATGGATTTATGATTCAGAATTCTGTGACTGTAAGCCTAAAAAATGAATGATATTGATATCTCAGTGTATACAGTGATATAATTCTACATTTCAAATATATGTTAAAAAATACTCATCAGTTTGTTGAAGATAAAACTAAGAATTAAAAATAGTATCTTATTAATGATTACACAATATGAAACTTATTTTCTACCAGGTCTTAATTTTATTCACTAAGAAAAAGGTATAATGCAGGCTACAATAGAAAAATTTGAATAATAAAACCCATTAATTCTGCTTAATATATACATTATACATTCATACACACACACACACACACACACATATAGAAAAGAATATTAGAAAGCACTGACAGGGCTGGGTCCCTCTTGACTCTGGTGCTATACTACTACTTAACTCCTGACTCATCCACAGTCACTAGATGGCAGTAACAATATCAATAGTACCATTTACTGACGGTTTACTATGCACTAACCTAAATAATTTAAACTTCACAGCTCTAATGTAGATAATACTATTATCATTCTCATTTCTCAAGTGAGAAAATTCAGGCACTGAGAGATTATATATGTGGCCCAAGATAACAACACTGGGAAATAGCAGAGTTATTATTCAAACCCAAGCAGTCAAGTCCCAGAGTCCACAAGAACGACCACGCTATATAAACTACCTAGGCACCTTATGTTCTCTAACTTAAGAACTGGAAAATCCTGGATTAGCCTCCACTTTGTAGACATATTTTAAAGAGAAAAATGAAAAACAGTAACCTATAAATATAAGACAGAATCATATATTTTTCAAATAAATGTCAATAAAATTATAAAAGTTATACTAGCTTAAGAAATTGTGGCAGGCGGATCACCTGAGGTCAGGAGTTCAAGACCAGCCTGGCCAACATGGTGAAACCCCAACTCTACAAAAATACAAAAATGAGCTGGGCATCATGGCAAGTGCGTGTAATCCCAGATACTAGGGAGGCTGAGGCAGGAGAATCTCTTGAACCCAGGAGGCGGAGGTTGCAGTGAGCCGAGATCACACCACTGCACTCCAGCCTGGGTGCTGGGTGACAGGGCAAGACTCTATCTCCAAAAAATAAAAAAAAAAAGCTTAATAAAGACATCAAAAAACGTCAAGGGAAAAAAATTTCAGGGTAGTAACTAAAACTGATACAGGAGTAATACACTTTAATCAAAAGATAATGAAACAGTTCTTAATGTTCTTGCTGGTAACAGTGAGAAGCTTTGCTAAAAAAAGTAACAACAATGCAGCTGTTAATTTGAGGTATCAAAGAAATTCTGCTATGCAAGTAGATGTCCGTATAACTATTTTCACCTAGATTATTTTCCTTCAAAAGCAAAGACGTATTTCCTAACTAGAAAGAAGATTATTAAGTCAATTTCACATATGAGGTATACCATAATGAAGAGGTAGCCAAGAGAAAACAATGGTTCACTCTTGGAAAGATAATAGGCATATTGATTTTAGACTAGCCTTTTATATTGAAAAAGAATGGTTTAAATTTAAATTATTAGTGGATACATTAGCTAATTAAATTATAAAGAGAAATTTTTAATCGATGAGCAAAAATAAAGCACACTGAGATCATTTTAGGCTAAACATAGACAATAAATATGGAATTATGAATAAGAGAATCAAAGAGAGTCCAAAATGCCATGTACTCACATAAAATTAGACTATTATCATTGATTTTTTTTGCTATAAACGTAAAAGAGAGAAAAATAAACTTCTACATTTAATAAATAAACCAAGTGGGGCTACAAATAAAACTTTTTCCTTTCCAGTACTCTACATATAGTTACTGAACCAGTTTCTCCAAAAGAAAACACACTAAGCAAGAAGTAACCTGAAAATACTAAATTTTTAATAATTTAATATTTTTAATATTTAATTTTAAATTAATAGTAAATCCCATTTATTGAGCAACCAAAATTGTTGTGGCCCCAATTTTGCAGAGACCTCCAGAGATATTAGAAATCATTCTTCATGTTTTTTCTTGTTTTATTCCACATACCCTTTAACATTTGACACAAGTAGTCAAATATATCACCCAAAATCTATGCGACTAATCTGTCAACAACAATAACAGCAGCAGCTAACATTTATTGAGTTCTTACTAAGTACCAGACATTATTTTCATTTCTTTAAATGTCGTTTTTTATTTTTATGTTTTTAGAGGTACGATCTCACTCTGTCACCCAGGCTGGAGTGCAGTGACACAATTCCACAGCTGGAATACTACTTTGACAGTTGCAACTTGGACATATAAATGCAGTTCTCCTCTAGGACAGTATTTCTAAAATAGATTTCCTGATTTTGATGCAAAATCCAACTGAAAATTAAAATGAAATCTTCTCTCATTGCCTGTTTAGAAACAGACAATACTAAACTCTTCTCATGGTATCTGAATTTCAAGGACACAAATTTTGTATAAATAAATGTCAGTGATGACAATGGCTTTTTAGCAATATGTAGATTTTTGGCAATATAGTGTGGCCTTAAAAAAAAAAGTTTGGTCACGCCTGTAATCCCAGCACTTTAGGAGGCCAAGGCAGGCAGATCATGAGGTCAGGAGATGGAGACCATCCTGGCTAACACAGTGAAACCCCGTCTCTACTAAAAATACAAAAAATTAGCCGGGCATGGTGGCGGGCGCCTGTAGTCCCAGCTACTCAGGAG
Organism: Homo sapiens; assembly: GCF_000001405.40. NCBI lineage: Eukaryota > Metazoa > Chordata > Mammalia > Primates > Hominidae > Homo > Homo sapiens. Next base: position 176,122,038 of record NC_000001.11, read on the forward strand.
GCTGAGGCAGGAGAATGGTGTGAACCTGGGAGGTGGGGCTTGAAGTAAGCCGAGATCGCGCCACTGCACTCCAGCTTGGGCGACAGAGCAAGACTGCATCTCAAAAAAAAAAAAAAAAAATCTGGGCTCAAAAAGATGATTTAAGACCTAAAATTCAAAACTCTGAAAATCAAATGCTGTTTTGCAACCTATTTAAAGGTAAAAATAAAAAACCTGGTCTGAACACATCTGACATCATGTTTTAACGCTGAAATATTAATGTGCTTGATGGGAAAGTCCCTCTTATTCTTCCATCAGTTTTATACGATACATGGCATATGTACTCTGTTACCTTTCCAAAATCGGTGAAGGCAGGAAAGGAATATGACTATACTCTGACCCAAAAGATTTCCAAAAAAATTTTGGAAACTTATATATCATACAAATTTAGGTTTACTTAAGGAATGCAAGGTTAGTTCAATAACAGAAGTACTAGGCCACAGAGTACTTATCTATGATTTCTACAGGAAAGACATAGGGGTAATTTATTCTTCAAACAACAGACGCTATCACAGTGTTTCAGAACTCCAGAAAAAAACTTCCCCAGCACCTCTTGTCTTCTTTTAATTAGTACATGGTTACAAAAAGTAACAGTTACATAATGCATACAGGGACTATGGAACCTAATACTTATACCGCCTTTTAAAATGTTTATTACATAATAATTCTGAAACTGAAAAAGGAAAGCAAAAGAGCAGCTCATTTGAAAGTTTTTTTTGTAAGAGGAGTTTCCTTAGAAACTTACTGCTAGCAGATATAAAAAGCAAGCATGAGGGAAAATTTCTAAAAGATGGAACAGGTCTGAGTCTATTGCTTTATCACTTTTGGAAGTAAACTACTTCGGTTGGTAGAATGTCAAAAATAGACAAAAATAAGCTCAAAGGAATAAGACCAACAAGACTGATTTGACTCCAACAAAATAAGTTAAAGTTTCAGTTCATTACACAACGTGGTTTATTTGACTAGTTTGTATTCTACTACTACTTTCCAACAAGTTGGAGTAGATTACAATTTATTTGTAATTCACACAGTAGAAATTTTAAATTATCAGATGATATAGTTGATACAATCCATCAGGGTTTAAAAAAACAATTATCTGAAATAACCTCAGAAGTACTCCAGAAATACTTAGAAGAAGCATTCCAAAAACAATTAATTAAAAATTCAAAGGTTCAGGGATGTGGTGAATGGGAAAAATATGATGGGACTTCGGTAGGAGAGATGTCATGAACAGCAGAAATGGTAAATGATAACAGCACATGAAATTTTACATTTGTATACAGTTGTCCTTATACCTAAGCAAGTTTTACCATGTGCAGCTTTGGTTTCCCTAGGTACCCCCATTTCTGACCTCCTAGAATCAAAGTATATCTATAATAATTAAAGGGGAAAAGAGTTTCCTATGTGACTCTAAATGACTCTAACCTGAAAGGACAAAAAGCCATAAACATAAGGCTCTAATCACAGCATATAAATGGAATTAACAGGGAATGGCTGGTATATACCAATAATTTGTTTCCTTTACAGAGACTTGATTTTTAACTTTTCCGGCCCTCTCAAGCCCAGAAACTTTATCTGAGGTATTTCAAAGACATTACAGAAGAATGTGTAACTTTACAGAGTAGAGTAAAAGAATTAAAAATCTTTACCCCCACCCTGCACAAAACATGAAATATGCAGTTATAAAATGTTTGTGTTGAATATTTGAACTTTCTCTTATAAAAAGGAAAATAAGCATGTCAGATTTAAGAATTTATTCAAAAACATGTCAGTAACACAGACTTATCACCAATTACTTAATCTTCCCATATTTTCTAAAGTAGCATCTCTACCACTCCCAAACCCCAGGCCTGCATTTGAATCTCTAAGATCTACCTCAAACCTAATCAATCAGATTTTAAAAATCTGCATTTCAAATACGAGTCTTGGTTGACACTCATGAACACTGCAGTTTGGCTTCTTCACACCTCAGATTTCAGAATTTAAATGAACTTTTATCATCATCATCAAGCAGTGATTTTAGATCTTTTTAATTTTTTTAAATTTTTAGTGTTTCTGGGTATACAGCAGGTGTATATACTTATGAGGTACAAGAGATATTTTGGTACAGGCATGCAATATGTAATATCACAACATGGAGAATGTGGGTATCCATCCCCTCAAGCATTTATCCTTTGTGTTACAAACAACCCAATTATACTTTTTAAGTTATTTTTAAATGTACAATTAAATTATTATTGACTATAGTCACCCTGTTATGCTATCAAATACTAGATCTTATTCATTTTAATTAATTTTTTTTTTTTATCCATTAAACGTTCCCACCTCCCCTGCCCCCCAGCCCCGTACTACCCCTTTCCCAGCTTCTGGTAACCATCTTTCTATTCTCTATCTTCACGAGTTCAATTGATTTTTAGATCCCACAAATAAGTGAAAACATGTGTTGTTTATCTTTCTGTTCCTAGCTTATTTCACTTAACATAATAACCTCCAGTTCTATCCATGTTGTTGCAAATAACAGAATCTTATTCATTTTATGGCTGATAGTACTCCATTGAGTATGTGTACCACATTTTCTCAATTCATTCATCTGTTGATGGACACACAGGTTACTTCCAAATCTTGGCTATTGTGAACAGTGCTGCAACAAACATGGGAATGCAGATAACTCTTTCATGTATACGTTTCCTTTCTTTTGGATATATACCCAGCAGTGGGATTGCTGCGTAATATGCTATTATTTTTAATTTCTTGAGGAACCTCCAAACCATTCTCCATAGTGGTTGTACTAAATTACATTCCCACCAGCACCATACAAGGGTTCCCTTTTCTCCACATCTTCACTAGCATTTGTTACTGCCAAACTTTTGGATAAAAGTCATTTTAACTGAGGTGAGATGATATTTCATTGTAGTTGTGATTTGCATTTCTGATGATCAATGATGTTGAACACTTCCATATACACTGGTTTGCCATGTTTGTCTTGAGAAATGTCTAATCTTTTACCCATTTTTAAATGATTATTCGATTTTTTTTTTCCTATAGAATTTTCTAAGCTCCTCGTATATTCTGGTTATTAATCCCTTGTCAGATGAGTAGTCTGCAAATATTTTCTCCAATTCTGTGGGTTGTCTCTTCACTTTGCTGATTGTTTCCTTTGGTGTGCAGAAGCTTTTTAACTTGATATGGTACCTTTTGTTCATTTTTGCTTTGGTTGCCTGTGATTGTGGGGTATTACTCAAAAATTTTTTGCCCCAAGTTTCCCCAATGTTTTCTTGTAGTAGTTTCACAGTTTGAGGCCTTTAAGTCTTTAATCCACTTTGATGTGATCTTTGCAGCAGGAATCAAGTTTCATTCTTCAGAACATAAATATCCAGTTTTCCAAGCACCATTTATTTAAGAGAATATCTTTTCCCCAATTTATGTTCTTAGCAACTTTGTCAAAAACGAGTTCACTGTAGGTGTGTGGATTTGTTTCGGGGTCCTCTATTCGGTTCCATTGGCATGTGTCTGTTTTTATGCCAGTACCATGCTGTTTTGGTTACTATAGCTATATAGTATAATGTAAAATCAGGTAATAACGATTCCTCTACTTTTGTTCTTTTTGCTCAGGACAGCTTTGGCTCTTCTGGGTCTTTCGTGATTCCATATAAATTTTAGGATTTTTTTTTCTATTTCTGTGAAGAATGTCATTGGTGTTTTGATAGTGATTGCAATGTATCTGTAGATTGCTTGGGTAGTATGGACATTTTAACAATATTGATTCTTCCAATCATTAACATGGCATACCTTTCCAGTTTTTTGTGTCTTCTTCAATTTCTTTCATCAGTGCTTTATAGTTTTCATTATAGATATCTTTCACTTCTTTGGTTAATTCCTAAGTATTTAATTTTATTTGTGGCTTTATAAATAAGAATATATTTTTATTCTTTTTCACATCGTTCACTGCTGGCATATAAACATGCTACTGATTTTTTGTATGTTGACTTTGTATCCTGCAACTTCACTGAATCTGTATCATTTCGTTCTAATAGTTTTTTGGTGGAGTCTATAGGTTTTTCCAAATATAAGATCACATCATCTGTAAACAGGGATAATTTGACTTCTTCCTTTCCAATCTGGATGCTCTTTATTTCTTTCTCTTGTCTGACTGCTCTAGCTAGGACTTTTAGTACTACGTTGAGTAACATTGGTGAAAGTGGGCATCCTTGTTGAGTTCCAGATCTAAGAGGAAAGGTTTCACTTTTTCACCATTTAGTATGACTAACTGTAGGTTTGTCATATATGGCTTTTATTATGTTGAAGTGTGTTCCTTCTATAACCAGTTCATTGAAGGTTTTTATCATGAAGGAACATTGAACTTCATCAACCTCACTTCTTTTTTCTTTTCTTTTTTTTTGAGATGGAGTCTCGCTCTGTCACCAGGCTGGAGTGCGGTGGCGCAATCTCAGCTCACTGCAACCTCTGCCTCCCGGGTTCAAGTGATTCTCCTGTCTCAGCCTCCCGAGTAGCTGGGAATGCAGGTACGCGCCACCATGCCCAGCCTTCTGTATTTTTAGTACAGACGAGGTTTCACCATGTTGGCCAGGATGATCTCAATCTCTTGACCTTGTGATCCGCCAGCCTCGGCCTCCCAAAGTGCTGGGGTTACAGGCATGAGCCACTGCACCTGGCCATCAACATCACTTTTTAAGTATCAACTGAAATGATGATATGATTTTTATCTTTCATTCTGTTGATGATTTTAGTTCTTATCAAGAACCCAAGGATATTTTATAGAAATCCTGAAATGCCTACTAATTAATCATAATTACTACAGTTTTTGGAACAGTTTTATAATTTTAAATTATTGGAATCAAAAAGTCTATTTACACCAAAATTTAAAGAGAATAATCAATTCACTCACATATCTTATTTTTCCTCCTAAGAATATATAACCATGAGAACAGGGTTCTAGGGTCTGTCATATTCACAAATATATCCCAGCGCCTAACAGTGTTTTTTAAATTTTTATCTTTAATTGACATAATAATTGTGAATATTTACGAGGTATAAAATATTTTGATCCTTGCATACATTGTGAAATGATCAGAGTATAGCATATCCACCACCTCAAATATTTCTTCTGAGAACATTTAAAATCCTCTCTTTTGCTATTCTAAAACATACAATTTATTATTATTAATTATAACCACCTTGTTGCACAACAGAACACCAGAATTGATTCTTCCTGTCTAACTATAACTTTGTACTCACTGACCAACTTCTCCCCTCTCCCCATCCACCTCTAATCTCTGTTAACCACCATACTATGCTCTACTTGTATGAGTTCAACTTTTTTAGATTCCGCATGTAAGCAAGATCATACAATATCTGTCTTTCTGTGCCTGTCTTATTTCACTTAACATAATGTCATCTAGGTTCATCTGTGTTGGTGCAAATGACAGAACTTCCTGGGTCTTTTTAAGGTGGAATAGTATTCTACTGTGTGTGTGTGTGTGTGTGTGTGTGTGTATGTGTATATATGTGTGTGTGTGTATATATATATACATACAATATATGTTTTAAATTCATTCATCCATTTAGATAAATACTTAGGTTGTTTGCATGGCTACTGTGAATAATGGGACAAAGAAGATGGGACTTTTTTCATAGTGATTTTATTTCCTTTGAGAATATTCCCAGTAATGGGATTGCAGGATCGTATGGTAGTTCTATTTTTAGTTTTTTGAGGAACCTCCATAATGTCTTCCAATGTAGCTGTACTATTTACAATACCACCAACAGTTTATAAGAGCTCCCTTTTCTCCACATCCTCATCAACACTTGTTTCATCTTTCTGATAATGGCCAATCTAAGAAATGTGAGGTGATGTGCATTAATTTGCATTTCTCTGATGATTAGAGATGTTGAGCCTCTTTTTCTATATCTATGTCTTCTTTTCTATGTCTTCTTTTGAGAAATACCTGTTCAAGTCCTTTACTCATTTTAAAAATAGGGGTGTTTCATTGAGTATTTGTATATTTTGTTCCTTGTATATTTTGCACATTAGCACCTAATCCAATATATGATTTACAAATATTTTCTCTCAATAATTGGGTTCTAACACAGTGTTTTATACACGCTGGCTCAAATACTGGCTGAATGACTGAAAATAAATTCTTCAAATATTCTAAAGAAAATCAGAGTTTCAAGAAAGGTTTTCAGAACTTACTGAATTTCTATTACCTATCAATTTTAATGAGAAATTACAGGTGTATGAAGAGTATCCCCTATATTATTGCCATGGAAGTTTGCTTCCTGTGTTTTGTGTTTGTTTTTGTTTTAGTTCACAATCAAGATTCCTTAAGATTCTTCAATTATTTTACTGACTTTGGCATCAAGTTCAACTCCTTGGCATGGTTTAGGGTCAGAATTAAGGAAAGTAACCTTTAGTACTCACAAGAATAAAACAATCAAATGGTTTTACTACTCCCACATAAAGGTAAGCTTCATTAAAATACAGCAAAACACCATGTATGTTCAAAACTCTCCAATTTAAGTGTACTTGAGACTTCTTAAAATCTGTCTGTAATCACCTAACCTTCAAGGTTTGAGAAAAAGTATTAAATTGTATACAGATAATTTCCTGTATTGTCATAATCTTCCCCTTAAATAAGCATTAGTTCAATTTGATTATAAAAACATTTCATTTCCTGCATTAAAAAAAATTTCCAAATAAAATAAAGTTGTTGAACCAATAATAACTGCCAAAAAGTACTAAGAACTTAAGCATTAACATGAAGCAGCAGACATTGACAATGCATTGGTCATAGGTAATAATCCAGCCAAAGACTCACTATGCAAAAATAGGCAAGATGGCTCACTTTTCATCTACTATATAAAGAGTCATCCCTGTCCTCCATATCCCTCCCAAGCATATATTCTTTCAATGACCAGAGATTAGTATAGTTGCATAGAATGACATGGGTAAACTAGAGGAATTTCTTAATATAGTCCAGAAGCTATTATGCAGTATTGTTTCTTAAATATCATTAATTTATTCAAATTATAAAATATACAAATTCACAAGGTATTAGATCACTATCCTACATATATATTTTTAATGTTAAATACTCTTAGCCTCCATAAAATGATTCCTTGTTTTTTCCTATTGTCCCTACACTTTGATTCGTCTGGAACTTTGTCAAAATTACAGAAATACAAATAAAAGGTATGTCTCAAAAATGTCTGATAGAGTAAATAAAATCAAAAGTGTCATATAAAAGTCTTACCTATATATTTTATTCATAAATCTCCTCCTTCCTCTAGCACAGAAAATAGGCAATTCAGGATTCAAACTAATGCATGTCTGCATGACAATTTTTTAAAAAAAATGAATTAAACTTTCAATCAACAGCAATCTCTTATCAGTAAAAGCATTTTAAAGATGAGAGATTGTAGATCAAAAAATTTTATTTAGTACTTGTATTTTGTACTACATTTATTTACTACCTTAGAAAAACAAGACTTATTAGGCAAATTTAACTCCAGCAACTATCTGGATCTTATAAAGCATACCCAGCTGAAGGAGATAGAGAAGCTTCAACTAATACATCATTTTTCAAACTAAGTTATCCGATGTTCTGAACACACAGAAGAGACTAATAACTCACCATTCCAAAATTCCTTAAAGACAAAGAATAAAGCAATTATGAGATAACTATTTCTAAGACAGAAATCACATCAATAAGATACATTCAGAAATTTAAAAGCAAAGTTACTGCAATGGCTTTGACGAGAATTTAAAATCTAACGAATAGTATGCTAACGTTCCTCATCACACCAGATTTACAGCTAACCACAAAAAGATAAGACTAGGCTCATACTAAGCTAATGGCTTCATAGGCTTAATAATAAGTTATTTAGCTCTGCTTCCTATTCAATTACACATAATAATAAACTAAATAATATTTAAAGAGCCTAAAATCCACATTTGTTAATCCATATAACGTCCACCCAGTTTACCGCTCTCAAAAATTCAGAGATAATCAAACCTGGTCTAAGTATGTTTCAATATAAAAAAAAATCAGCATTGTCCTATTTGCCAGGAAGAGAACCTAACAAAAATGTTTTGCTTTATTATTTAAATAAAGTCTGAGCTAAAAAGTTAAAAAATGTCTAAAATATTAATAATACTCTAGAAGGGCAGATAGGATGTATATCCTCATAATCACCCTCCCATACAAAAGAACCAATTCCTCTTGATAATAAGTAAAAGAGACTATGCTTGCCTACCAATCTCTAATTTTCTCATTATTTCACACACACAACTATGCAACAATAAAATGTAAACTATGGTTTATACTGAGAATTGTGAAGACTTTCTTCCTTAGAATTTAAAACAGATTAAAAAGGTTCTAAGTATAGCAGTCATTGGTTTGATTAATTCTACGGAAAGTCTGAAATGGATGAAAGCTTAAAAGGTTAAAAAATTCAACTGATATATTTTTTTAAAAAACATACCTCACCTCAATGAAGCATGGCTGATAGCTTTTATAGCAAGATTAAAATAATTAACCTATTAAGTATACTACATGTGATGCTTTAACAAATTCACAAACTGTGAAAATTAAATGACATTCTAGGTTAGGTAAATATTTACTCAAAACCTTGTATTTAAGTCCTTATTATATATAAATACATAAAAATGTGGAAGTATAAGAAAAAAACAATACTCACAGGATTACAGTACAGCATGGAAAACATGTATTTTTTCCAAAGTAATACATATTATAGAAACAGAATCAAAATAAGTAGAAATCTTTACAAAACAAAACAAGTGGTTAATTCTATCTCCTGCTTCCTTTTCCCTGCCCCTAATTTTTTAGGGAAATGGCATCTGAAAAAAGAATAGAAAGACTTCACCCTAGGACCCTATAGGTTTGGGGTCTTTGGGGATAGTTACTTAACAGCTGAATCCAGGAGAAGTTTCTAGGCAAAAGGAACAGTGTAAGCAAAGATACCCTAACATTCTGCTTTGAGAGTTACATACAATTTTAAAGCACAAAAACAATAGGCTGGGGCTAGGCAATTACGGAGGGTTATGCAAAGAGATGGATCTAAACCAATGTACATGATAGGCAGCTACTGAAAAATTTTAAGCAGGAAAGAAACATCATATTTCTGGCAATAACACATAAAAGGATAGGTTAAAAGATTATTGCTAGATGAGGTGATGCTAAGGATCTAAACAAGGCAGAAGCAGTAAAATAGGATATGACAATTACAGCTAATCAAAGTAGGTAGAATATAAAGTTCTGTGGGGGGCTGGGAAAGGGAGAGAATACCATTATCTGGCTTCTGCTTTTCTTTTTCATTTAAATACATAATCTAAACATAAACCCAGAATCTATGTAAAGGATTCAGTGACCTGACATATAATAAAGATATTCATTATAGAAAACTAACAAATCTAGAAAAGAGCTTTTGTAAAGTAAGCCTGCTTAAAAGAGAGATCAAAACTTTTTAGTGAGGAATAAGAACAAAAACTGTCTGGCATTTAAATAATAAAGCTAATAATTCTGAAAGAAAAAAGATTAGTAAAATTGCAACTACATACTATTGCTTAAAGAAAAATCAAATATGAATAGTATTATAAAAGATAATATTTGTCTCAGAATGTCTGATTTCAAATCGTAATCTTAAGGATCATTTTCACTCAAGAGTATTTAAGGGCTACATCATTTTTCCCAAGTGCCTCTCTCAATCCTTGAGTGATATTCACATCACTTGTTCAGAGAAAATATCAAAACACTCTTGAAGAAAATACTGTTTGCCTATTTTCCCTTCTTGAACTGCTAACCCATTTAACTCTGCTAGAATCTAATTTAATGACAGCTTTGCAAGCAATTTTAGCAATTCTCCAACAATATTTTCATAAACTTCATGAAATCTAGTATGTTTTACGAGATCTGCTACTTTATTTTACAATACAACCACTCTTACCTCTTCTATCAATAAAATCCTAATGCAAACCAACATCTCCTCTCTTCTGAACTGCTACAATGCTTCCTAACTTTTCTCCCCAGCTTCCAATGTCAAGGGGTTGAGAGGGACACATCTTCTCTGTCCTCCACACAGGGATCCAAGTAAACATTTTAAAATCTAAATCAGATCCTGCTCAACACTATCCCATAACTTTCCATCATAATTAGTCTTTACTTGATTAATGTGTCAACTTAAATGTCACCTCCTTGGAGAAGCCTGGCTATGAAAACTAAAACAGAATCCTCTTGCAAAGCCCTACCATGCCTAACTATTCTTCCTAAGGTAGTGCAGTCATGCATCACTCAATGACAGGGATACAGTCTGAGAAATGTGTCATTAGGCAATTTTGTCATTATGTGATCATAGAGTATACTTACACAAACCAAGATGGGGGTATGTATGTGTGTGTGTATATACACACACACATATATGAATATATACACACATATACACATATGTACGTATATATACTATATATACACACATATACACATATGTACGTATATATACTATATATACACACATATACACATATGTACGTATATATACTATATATACACACATATACACATATGTACGTATATATACTATATATACACACATATACACATATGTACGTATATATACTATATATACACACATATACACATATGTACGTATATATACTATATATACACACATATACACATATGTACGTATATATTATATATACACACATATACACATATGTACGTATATATACTATATATACACACATATACACATATGTACGTATATATACTATATATACACACATATACACATATGTACGTATATATACTATATATACACACATATACACATATGTACGTATATATACTATATATACACACATATACACATATGTACGTATATATACTATATATACACACATATACACATATGTACGTATATATACTATATATACACACATATACACATATGTACGTATATATACTATATATACACACATATACACATATGTACGTATATATACTATATATACCCATACACATACGTATATACGTACATATATATACGTATGTACACACATACGTATATACGTACGTATATGTACGTATGTACACACATACGTATATACGTACGTATATGTACGTAGGTACACACATACGTATATACGTACGTATATATATACGTATGTACACATATATATGTGAAAAACCAATGTCCCAGCACCATTACTGAATATCAGTCATTTCCCCTACTTGATCTGCAATGCCAATATCAAGTGTCATATATTAGGTCTCTTTATGTGCTCTATTATTTTCTTATGAGATCACCATCATATATGCAGTCCATCACTGACTGAAACGTCATTATGCAGTGCATGACTGTATTGTATGTTATATACTACTACTATGCTATACATTGGCCCTTTTAGTGTCTCCCCCAACCTCCATACACACATCCCAAAATGTAAGCTCCAAAGGGACGAGGACTTTGTCAGCTAGATCCAACACCTAGAATAGTCCCTAGCACATCAGAGGCATTCAATAAATAGAGCAATTAAGTAAATGCACCGTACTGTCACAATTTCATAAAATCCAACAATCAGTGAGAGACTGAGTAACAAAGATCTGGAAACAATATATACAAAAAAAATTTGCTACTGTTAAACAGAGAGGAAAAAGACAATGGGAATGAATCATTATTAGTGAACTTTTTGTGATGTGACAACTTTTTCTTCCCTGTATGTACTTACATAATAAGTATTCCATTGACAAAGATCCTGTGCATATCAGAACTGAATTCAAGGCTTAAAGATAACAATATACACAGACCAAGTCATTCTCAAATGTTTCAAAGAAAGTAAAATATAGAAGAAAATCGGCTGAATTACACAGCTAAAATAACACCAGAATTAACGAACTCACAAGGATTCTCCATACTATAATTAATGGGAAAAATGTCAAACCTCTGAATTCTCCTTAACTAGAACATCCCTGCACCCTTTCTGTACATGATGTACTGAACTAGATCCATAATAGCTTTCCTAAAGTGATAAGGTTTCCGAAGGTTATTATAATCTACCATAGTAGAACTGGACTTCCTGATAGTACACATTACCTAAAACTATTTGTCTGATAAGATTCCATTAAATCGTTATCCTAAACAGAGAGTGGATTTAACAAATCAAAAACAAATGATTTCATGTAAAACTGTTCTTAGTTTGAACATTTCAAGCATAAAAATTCAAAACTCAAGATTCAGATAGCATATATTTCATGAAGTAGGTTTTACAGCTAAAAGGGAAACACACACATTCACCATGCTTTACAAATACCTACTACTAAATGAAACCAGGCTTTATTCTAAAATCTTGGGAAATGGTCATGACAAATATAACCCTATACTAATATCGCATATAGAAGAATTAATAATAAGTAGTTATAAGAAAATACCAAGGAAATCTAAACTAACAGATCTGTCTACTGCCCTCATTTTAAATGTGGGAAAAGTGATCTGTCCAATAAAATTTAACAAGTTAGGGGGAGAAGTCCAAGGTTTTATTTTATCACATTTTTCCCTAATATTACCACTTCATGTTCTCAAATTTAGATTTTTGAATGTCATCTGACTTTAATTCACAAGATATTTAAAGCTATCATTACTTTAAGAAATTCATCAAACTTTTAATCCAACTGTGAATTCATAACATTATAGTATTCTACTCGCTAACTCTTCCTGGCATGAAATCCAACGCATTAAGGAAACAGATGGGCCATATGAATATCATTTCTAGATCATGACCAAAGTAATTTCTCAGGGGTTTCATACACTGCATGGAAAAGGCTCCTAAAGGACTAGACCATATGCATACTTTGTAATATGAATTCTAATCAATTGCAAGTGTGAAGCTTGTACCTGTGTGATGGAGAAGGAGCTTCAAATTGAGGCACTGTGCTATCCTCACTGACAGGAGAGTATAAGCCACTCATTTCCTGAAAATAAAATTATTTGAATTATAGTAGATATTTCAAATAGAAGATATATAAATCAAAAAGAGGCATGATATATTCCTTTCTATTCCCAGGTTTTCATCAGTCCCTGTTTGTCTCAATATCAAATTTCTGAAGGCTTCCTCTCCACAGAATACAAAAGCAAGGACATGTGAAAAGTTAAGAGACAAGCCTTTTCCATGGTACACAATCTTAAAGAACTATAAATTGTTTACTAAATATTGTTCATCATTAATGAAGCCACCACATGCAAAAAAAGATAAATGTAAATGTAAATATTTTAAATGACATGTACATTATACTATGTGAATAGTGAACTAGCATATCATTAATTCAGGTGATAATCTATTGATAAATGTTAAGATAAATATGACAGTAAGATAACTGGATCATCAGGTTCAACTCTTGAACATAAAAACACAAAAAACACCCAGAATATGTCAGTCTCTGCTTTATATATATTCTTCACAAATATTAAGATTGAAATATCAGCTTTGTTTAATAATGACTTAGACTCTAATTTTTGATCAGTAATCCAGAGGAATAGGCCTAATCAACCATTATATAAATTTTCTCTCTCACACTGACAACCTAGCTTCCTTTTTTATGTACTAACTTTGATTAATGAAAAAATAGCAAATTTTAAAATGCCACTAAAGATGCATAATCAGGTAAAATTATTTCTAGCTAATGCAACCTCAGCTCAATCATACAGTCAGGTAAGTGACATAAATGTGTAACAACTTAAGAATGCTACAGAGGATACTGAACATCCACTAAATATTAAATCCATTAATCTTAAACATGTTCTATGTATCAGCAAAAAAAAATTACAATACATATAAATAACTAAAAACACAAACTAAATTAATAAATACAGCCAAAGGCAAAAACTTCAAATCATAATACCCTATAAGACTCCCAAGGATCCTCCCATAAATTTCCTTAGGTAAACTATATTAAACTGTAAATTCCCAGAATATTGGTAATGTATTCTTATATTTCTCTTTTAATTAACCTTAACTCCTAGAAATGCACAGAGTAGGTATGTAAAAGTTATTAATAAAAAAAGCATTGTAGTGGTAATAATTGACAGTTTTAAGTTATGATGGCACTCCAAGAAAACTGAGCGATTTTTTTTGTCAGTCTAATCGAGAAAAATTATGGCAATAAAACATTGTAAAACAAATTTAGACTATATTTTATCAAGTGTTCAGAATGTTTTTTTCTACAAAAATTCATCCTCAATTGAAATGAAAGTAACAGCTGTTACTTTCTTCCTAAGACCAATCCCATAAACTTAACACAGCAACTTAATGGAAAGGTGACAATTTCATGAAATTGAAAAATTGCTAAGGATGTGAGAAATTCTTGATTCCTTACTTCCACTCTCTTAATATCCTCTTCCAAAACACTTAGCTCCTTCTGGATCTGTTCCAGTTGCTGCAGATTAAATAGAGAGAGAAAGACAAAAAAAAAAAAGCCTAAGCCAAACCAAAATGGCATCACCATGATCATAAAATAAATTTACATTAGGAAAATAATTTCTATCAAACTTGGCACTAATGGCAAATTAACAGGAGGGATAACCATCAACAAAATATAGCTAGAAGTTCCCATTTTTTAATGCAAAGGTAGAGAATTATGTGAAAACACAATGTTGTACTTCTTTAATACAACAGTTTGATTTTACAATAAAAGTATGAGATGAATGACAGTGGCTTAAAAAAATACAAGATAGCCAAAGAACTTTCACATTACCTCATTTAGTTGTTAAACAGAAAAATTCAGCATGTCAGTTGTTAATCACACTTTTTTTTTTTAAATAGAGATAGGTTTCACTATGTTGCCCAGGCTGGTCTCCAACTTTTGAGCTCAAGCAATCTGCCCGCCTCAGCCTCCCAAAGTGCTGGTATTACAGGCGTGAGCCACTGCACCAGAACTTTAATCATACTTTATAAACAAAGATTAGTCTGACAGAGGTTAAATCCCCTCACCCAAAAGCAACCACAAGTCAGTATCTTAACACTTCCTTCTTAAGGGTTTTAAAAACATATTTGAGTTAGTATTTTATCTTTTATATCTCGCCTATTAAACCACTAATAATTTTCCATGCCACTAAAATGCAAACATTGTAACTGTTGAATAACACTTAATATATTGAACCATTCCCTTTCTCATTAGAGATTTAAGTTGCCTGCAAACTATCATATATAATTCTGGAACATATTGTTCTTTCAGATTTCATTTCATTTTCAGATTTTATTAAAAGATTACTTCAGATTTTATTGAGAGTATTAAAAATAAAATTATTCAATCAAAAGAAAACTGCTTTCCAGAAACACTATACCAATTTAAATTCCTAACGCCAGGATGCGGTTGTCTTACTCTAACCTGGAAATATTGAACACATTTATAAATGTAAAATATTAACAACTAATACTTATATATTACTGATTGCCAGATGTGAAAATGAAGCACAGAAAGGTTAAATGATTTGTCCAAAATCATTCTGTAAGTGGCAGAACTGGAATTCAAATTAAGGTAGGCTTATTGTTCCAGAATTCATGCTTTTAACTACTATTCTTTACTACCTATTGAAAACAGTACCTTATTATTAACTCATTTCTTTAATAACTGATAAGGGCAAACAGGGTTTTTTATAGACTTATTAGTATTAGTATCTTCTGTGGCAATACAGGCAAAGTTGGTAATATAATTAATAACTTACTCATTCAAGTATTTACCAATTCTAGGCACCTTCCTAAGTACTGAGAAGAACAGGATCGAAAAACAACTGTAGCCCTTACCCTGAGTTCAGTCTAGGGGAGATGGCAAATAAGAAAGCCAATAGTTGAAATATCATAGCAAGCATTATGATGATGGTATACAACGTATTAAGGGAATATAGACCACATCTAATGTAGAGCTGGTGGGGTAAGAAGAGGACTAGATAACTAAAATTTGATTGAAAATTAAATCAGAGGCTGAGCCTTAAAAGACTAACAGAATTCTGCCAAGTGGAAAACAGTGAGGCATGACAGAATAAGCAGAGTAAATAATAACATATGCGAAGGTACAAAAGCCATGAGAAAGGTAAATAATAAATCTGAAAGTAAGGCAATAAATAAAACTGCTTAACATCAATAAGTATAGTCAGAAGAGATAAAAGCAAAACTGAAATGGTAGAAAACACCAATGTTAAAGAGATGGGCAAAGGAAGAAGCAGCATTAACAATCAAGAAGGGCAAAGTCGCAGCCAGAAAACCAGGGGAAATGACAGTACCATTGGAGAAATCAAGGGTTAAAAGAGTGATTAGCATTTTCAAAAGCTTTCAACTCATCTATCTACTTTAATAAACTTCCTGCCGCCTTAAAATATGTCACACAATGCCACCTTAACTGAAACCCTGCTCACTCTTAAAGACACTGTCTGTCCTGAAACTCTTTCAAATAACAGCTGCTCAATTGATACTGCTCAATTGATAAAGTCTCTAAAGCCCCAGAGTTTACAGGACTTATTAATAGATAGGAACTCACTATTTCTACTCCATTCCATGGCCATTTCCAACAATTAGTCTTCCACCCTAAAATTAGTTTTCCACCATAACATAAAAACCACTCTGTCTAGCTCATACCAAGCAGCCAAATCCCTGTCCACCCACTTGAGCCATCAATAAACATCCCAGTTATTCTCCACCATCACTGAGGCCTTTGGGTTCATGGACATTTTCAACTCCAGCATCCAGTGATGCTGACCTCTAATTCAGCAAAACACTCCCATGGTAATCTCTTAAACATTTTCATTTAACTACCTTAAAATGTTCCACTCTTGAAATTTTTATTTAAACAAATGCTTTACTATATATAAGAGGTCTTTAGAATAATTGCTTTAAAAAATACATTTAAAAAGAAGAATGAGTATCTGACAAAAGTCTAATATCCAGAATCTACAAGGAACGTAAATAAATGAAAAACAAAAAACAAATAACCCCATTAAAAAATGGGCACAGACATAAACAGACAATTCCCAAAAGGCAACATACAAGTGGCCATCACACATAAAAAAATGCTCAACATCACTAATCATCAGATAAATGTTAACAAAAACCAAAATGAGATACCATCTCACACCAGTCAGAATGGCAATTATTGAAAAGTGAAAAAACAAAAACAAAAAAAACAAAAAAAAAAAACAAAAAAAGAGATGCTGGTGAGGCTGCAGAGAAAAAGGAATGTTTGTACACTGCTGGTGGGAATGTAAATTAGTTCAGCCACTGTGGAGACCGGAGTTGGGAGATTTCTCAAAGAGCTTATTAAAAGAGAACTACTATTTGACCGAGTAATTCCATTATTGAGTATATATCCAAAAGAAAATAAATCATTCTCCCCCAAAGACAAGTGTATTTGTATGTTCATCATAGCTCTATTCATCACAGCAAAGATTCATCAATGCCCATCATTGCCCATCAACGGTGGACTCAATAAAGATGTGATACAGAGACACCGTGGAATACTGTACAGCCATAAAAAGAACAAATCATGTCCTTTGCAGCAACATGGATGGAGCTGGAAGCCATCATCCTAAGTGAATTAATGAAGTAAGAGAAAACCAAATACCACATGTTCTCACTTATAAGTGGGAGTTAAACACTGGGTACTCATAAAGATGGTTACAACAGACACAGGGAACTACTGGGGTGGGGGAAGGAAGAAAGGGTTGAAGAACTAACTGCTGAGTACTATGCTCACACTTCTGAGTGATGGGGTCAATCATACCCCAAATTTTAGCATCACACCATATATCTACGTAAGAAACCCGTACATGTACTCCCTGAATCGAAAAGTTGAAATTATATTTAAAAAGAAAGTAAATATCTGTAATATCAATAGCCAAAGACAGCCAATATTACTTGTATGATACATAATAATTGAAATCAAATTAATTTTTATTCTGCTTTTGAACTTGAAATTCCAGAAAAATTTCCAATGTCACCTGAAATCTCAAAATATTAAACTCTAATGTCTTCTCTGAAAATAATGTTCCATCTCCTAATACCTCAAAGCTTTTACTGGATCATATACCTATTGTTACATATGAAGGCTTCTATACATAAGGTGAACCTCATAAAACTGCCAATAATAAAACAATTTTTACTTCAAAAACAGCAATTTCATATGGTTCAACTTAAAAATCAAATAATGAAGGCATGGTGTTGTCCTGACAGATATACAGACAGAATGCAAAACAAAATGATATAACCTATCCGTAAGAAAGTCTGACAAGGTATCAGGCAAGAAATATTAAAAAGAAAAAAGTTTGGAAGACTGAAAACTGTTGAGAGAGCACATATTAAATTTGAGGTGTTTCCATTTTAAGATGAGAATTCTGAAGGGATTTGGAGCTGTAAATTATAAGGGCATCAGTGCAAGACATTTTAGTACTAGTAAATAGAAAAATGATGAAGGACAACCACTTCAAGGATGTGGAAAGAAGAAATGGGCTAAATTCACTCTGTAAACATAACCCCGGGAAGGAGAACTTAGAAGAAAAGTCTGAATATAAGTCCAAGAATGTTTTAAAGATATATGAAGAAAAGTTCAAGAAGCTGAACTGCTATTATCTAAAGGAAAATCAATCACAAATTAGGAATGATAATAAACTCCTAGATCACATTTATCTTAACACCATTACAGAGTTTGGTGCCACTTAGAAAAATAAATAAATATATAAGATGGAGAACTAAGACAATGCTATTTGAGGGCATGGGACTAAAGAATCAATAGCAAGCACTCTCTTAACACTGTGCCAAAGCCCAAAGAAAACTTTTAGAAACATTTAACGTAAAGGTAAAGAGTAAGTAAGTCTCAGAATCCCTTACGAAGATAATAGATAGACTCTCCCATTACTGATAATGGATTTGGTGCAGGTAGGTATCATTGGTACTCAACTGACTTTCATTAGTGCCTTGATAAAGATATGCTTAAGCATTAAACTCATTATTTGAATTTTTAATATAATTTTGAATACATTACATATAATTGTTCCAAACTGAACAAAAGAATACACCATTACACTTTCAATGGGGAAAAGCTGATTTTAAAAATCGAGCAAGGCTAGGTGCGGTGGCTCACGCCTGTAAGCCCAACACTTTGGGAGGCTGAGGCGGGCAGATCACCTAAGGTCAGAGTTCAAGACCAGTTTGGCCAATAAGGTGACACCCTGTCTCTACTAAAAATATAAAAATTAGCCAGGCGTGGTGGTAGGCACCTGTAATACCAGCTACTTGGGAGGGTGAGGCAGGAGAATCTCTTGAACCCGGGAGGTGCAGGTTGCAGTGAGGCGAGATAGTGCCACTGCACTCCAGCCTGGGCAACAGAGCAAGACTCCATCTCAAAAAATACATACATACATACATACAGCAGCAAAACTTAATATATGCTAATTCTAAGAGAGTTACTATCAAAAACAAAGCATTTAGCCATATGAAGTGCACACTACAGCAAGCCAAAACCCTTGTCATCCCATACTATCACTCCACAAACACTCACATACTTCATATCTAGTTCCTGAAATGGCAGACCTGATTAAAAGACTTCATTTAACCCTTTCATAGCACTTTTTCTTTTCTTTTTTTTTTTTTAAGACAGGGACTCATTTTGTCACCCAGGCTGGAGTGCAGTGGCACAATCTCAGTTCACTGCAGCCTCTGCCTCCTAGGCTCAAGCAATTCTCTCACCTCAGCCTCCCAAGTAGCGGGGACTACAGGCACACGCCCCTATGCTCCACGAATTTTTTTTTAATTGTTTGTAGAGACAAAGTCTCACTATATTGTCCAGGCTGGTCTTGAACTCCTGGCCCTCAAATGATCCTCCTACCTTCGCCAACGTGTTAGAATTACAGGCATGAGCCACTGTGCCCAGCCAACATTTTGTTTTAAGCTGAGAAGAAAACAGAAAAAGCAAGAACAAAACCAAATAAATAAATGATAGAGTAGTGAGGGGACAAAATAAGATGGCTTATTTAAGAGCAAATGTAAACAGATGTCAATACCAGTAGGCTGATAAGTTACAAATACATGATGTAACAGAGAGAGCAACCACTAAAAAATGATACAAAAAATTTACTTTAAAACATTATAGATAAATCAAAATGGAATTCCGAAAAGAAACTGTTCAAAAACCCATGGAAAGAAAAACAGAAAAGCAACAATAATAAAAAAAGAAATATAAAACAAAAAATAAAATGACAGGCTTATGCTATAATATTTATATTAAATAAATGGCCTAAATACACAATTAAAAAACTGAGTCTGGCAGAGTAGATTTACAAAGCATAGTCCAACCATATGCTATCTATAAGAAATTCACCTAAAAGATAATGAGACAGTAATAGGTATAACAAGGAAAGGAAGACCTGGTATGAATGCAGGAAATTCTCACCACACATTTAACAACTTTACAATGAATCATGCAACTGCAGAAAATGCATTCTTTTCAAGCACAAGTATTTCAAAATTTAACCAATTACCAGTTGGTACAGCAAATATTATATTCAAAGAAAGAAAACACAACTTTCTGACTACAATGCAATTATAACAGAAATCCAGAACAAAAAAAAAACAAAATCTCAATGTTCAAGTAATAAGACATTTGTTTCTAAATAAGCCACAGGCCTAAGAAAAAAATATAATGAAAATTAGAAATTATTTTGAACAATAATAAACAAAATATGATGCCAAAAGAATTAGGTACAGATTAAAAAATAAGAAACTATGGCCCTAAATGCCTACATTAGAAAAAATAATCTGCATAATAATATGCATATCCACCCAAGCCAACAGATTAGGAAGGAACAAAAAAGTAAAACCAAAGAAAGCAGGATGGAAATAATAAAGAACATAAATAAAACAGAAAACAAACAAAACAGAGAGGAAAAACAAAGTCAAAAGTTAGTTATTAGAAAAAAACCCATATAATTGATATATTCCTGGCAAGAATTGATCCAACAGAACAAGCGAGAGAGAGAGAGAGCGAGAGAAAGAGAGAGAGAGAGAGAGGAACAAGCAAAATAAACACTGCCAGGAATGAACCCTGGTGACATTAAAAACTTAAGACTCTATTAAGACCAATCTTACGCCAATAAATTTGAAAATTGAGATGACATAAACAATGACTAGAAAAAATTTAACAAATGAAAAGTGACATCTAAAACAAAAACCTTAATAAGAATGTAACTGTTCAAGTAACAGATTCAATAACTTAAAACTTCCCGCAAACAATCACAGGTCTAGACTGCTTCTCCAGTAAGATCTTTAAACATTCAAAAAAGATGTTCTTAGACTACACAAAATTATTCCAGAAAATTTAAAAAGAGGATACATTTCCCAACACATTTGATAAAGCTAGCATAATCTTTATAGCAAAACTGGACAAGATATGTGTAAGAAAAAAAACAATCTCACTCATGAACATAGATGCAAAAATCCTAAACAAAATATAAGCAAACCAAACCATATAGAAGAGAATATACATAACGGCCAAGTTTGGTTTATATAAGGGGTGCAAGTAGGGGGACCAATTGTCCTGGTGGGGTTTCCTAGAATGCAGAACCTTCAGTGATATAACTAAGATATAACTAAGACACCCCTGGGCCAATCAGGATGGTTGGTCACTCTAGATGCAAAGTTGATTGACTCCCCAATGCTAAACCAAAGTAATTATTCACATTAACAGAATGAAAAGGAAAAATCATATGGTTGCATCAGATGCACAAAAATTCTGGAGACTACTCAACCCCACTCAGAAATTTTTTAAAAATTCTCTTAGCAAACTGGGTAAAAATTTACTACCTTGAGTGATAAAAAGTACCTACAAAAAACCTACAGAAAACATCATACCTAATGGTGACACGTTGAATGCTTTCACTTTGAGATCAGCATCAAGACTAGGATGCCCCGCTATCACCACTTCTATTCATCATTGTACCGGATGTCCTAGCCAGCAGAGTAAGACAAGAAAAATAAATAAAAGATATAAGGATCATAAAGAATGAAACTAAACTGTTATTATTTGCAGATTATGATGTGTACATAGAAAACATACAAGAATCTACAAATAAATTAGGATTAATGAGAGTTTAACCAGGTTGCTGGATATTTTTAAAAATCTCCATGTAAAACCCACCTGTATTTCTACACACTAGCAATAATAAGAAACTAAAGTTAGAGACACAGACATCATTTACAATAGTATCAAAAATGACTAAATCTAAAATAAAGATGTGTAAGACTACCCTGAAAAATATAAAAATTTTAAGGCTATTTTAAAGATCTAAATATAGAGGGAAGTACCACATTCACAGATTAGAAGACTGAATACTGTAAATACACAGTCTCCCAGATTTATCTAGTCAAATTAATCCCAATAAAAAGCACAGTAAGTTTACCATGGAAACGTACTAGCTGATTCTAAAATTTATACTGAAATGCAGACAGCCAGGAATATCCCAGACTTTAAAGAAGAACAGCAACTTAATTCAAAGCTCTAGTATTTAATACAAGGTGGTATTGCGAAAAAGACCAGTGAAGCAGAAAAGAGGACCTAGAAACAGACCCACACATACATGGACACATGATATATGACAAAGGTGAAACTTCAGAGTGATGAAGAAAGAATGGACTTTTTAATAAAGGATGCTTGGGCAGCTAGATATCCATATGAAAATATCTCTATACCTCACATTATACACAAAAATAAATCTTCAAGTATAGATCTAAATATGAAAGATAAAAGAATAAAGCTTCAAATAAAGAACAGCATAGAAAAATGTCTTCATGACCACAGGTGGAAAAGACTTCTTTAAGTGACACAAAACACACTAAGTATAACAGATAAGATAAATTTCACTCTATTAATATCAGAAACTTCTGGTCATCAAATGACACCATTAAGATAATGAAAAGAATGCAACCCAATTAGAGGGAAAGATATTTGTGATAGATAGATCTGACAAGATGTATATCTAGAATATATAAATATCAAACCATTAAGAAAAATCAAACAAAAAATGTAAAAAGTTTTAAACAATTACTTCACACACAAACATAAAAAAACCCAAATGGCCAATCAATGTAGTACTAGGTGCTCAACCTCATAAGTCATCTGGAAAATGCAAATTACAACCATATAACAGTGTATATACCCCAAGATTAGCTAAACTGGAAAAAAAATCTACTGGTATCACATACTGGCAAGAACACAGTGCAACAGAAATGCTCATACAATGCCTATGCCTGTAGGAAGAATAACTAATACAACTTGTTTTGAAAAAATATTTTGGCATTATCTATTAAATTTGAAGATACACATATCCTATGACTCATCAATTCCACTTCTAAATACATTCCATATAAATATGTATACTAACATAAACCTGGATACACATATAACATAGTAGTATTTTTTTGCCAACAGCCCCAAACTGAAAACAACTCAAATGACGACCAACAACAAAAATGGGGCATATTCACTTAATGGAATACTATACAACAACAAAAATCAACCAACTACAGTCATATACAACCATGTGGATGAATCTTAACATTCAGCCGAAGAAGATAGGAATAAAAGATTACATACTGCACAAGCACACTTAAATAACGCTCAAAAACAGAGAGACCTATGGATACTCAGGCAGCAAAACATTAAAGAAAGGCAAGAAAGTGACTGCCATAATTATCAGAATATTGGTTACCTAATGGGCAAGGAAGATGACTGCAATCCAAAAAGGGTGGTCAGGGTGCTTCAGCCGTTCTAGCAGTATTGCATTGTGCTTACAATGGTGGTTATACAAATGGTCACTCTACTGTAATTCTTTAAACTATAAATTTGGTTTATATACTTTTTTGTGTTTTTCATATAAAAATCGTTTAAAATTCAATTCACTAAAATTCCAAGTAAAACCAAAAGGAAACCAAGACTCATCAGAACGATTATATTACAGTAAATTTAATAGGTATCAAAAATTTCCAAAAGTACATTTTAAAATTAAATCAAATGAAACAGAAGGGAATCATTCAAATGCTGGTACAAATTTGCACAGAGAAGACTGGCTTTTACATGGAACCCAACACCCTTTTGTTTAATCTGACCATGAAGGAAGACTAACATGTTCATTTAAATATATATAACTAACAAACGCTGTTAATAGGCAAGTTCTAAGATGGCCTCCAAAGATCCCCGCCTCTTAGTATTCAAACCCTTGTGCAATTCTGAGTGTGGAATGAACCAATGATGTGCTTCTAACAAACAGAAAACAGCAAAAGTTTTAGGATATAATTTCCAAGATGAAGTTACAAAGAACATGTGACTTCTGTCTTCAATATCCTCTCTTGCTTTCTTACTTGTTCCTTTTGAGAGGCAGCCAGCTGCCATGTAGTGAGCTATCCTATGGAGAAGCCCCTGTGACAAAAAAATTGTTATCTCTTTCCAAAAGCTGATGAGTGAGCTTGGAAAGTTCCTATCCCAGTCAAACCTTGAGATAACTGCTCCCTTGGCCAACAACTTAATTGCAGCTTGGTAAGAAACCCAGAGCCAAGGCACCCAGCTACTCTGAATCAAAATTCTAGACTCAATATATTAAATTTTTCATGTTTTAGGACATCAAATTTGAGAGTAATTTGTCACACAGCAATAGATAACTAATGCAAATGCCTATTATGTGCCTTGCACTTTCCATTCTCTTAATATTCTAAGGAGAATCAGTAGGAAAAAATAAAACTGAAAATTAAATGGCCCTAAATTACTAGCCAGTTGTGACAGTGGAATACTCATTATCCAAATGAGTTAAATGAATCTTAACATTAAATCCAAAAAGCATATTTAACTTCTCTGATTGGTATATATCAATGTCTAAAACTACACTCAACAGAACTCCAATTAAAAGTTACAAATGAAATCACGAAGTTAATTTTCAAAGTTTGAATGTCAAAAGAAGCAATTTGCCTCCTGGTAAATCTGTATTTTACTTGAATAAGTTCAAGTATATAAACCATATTACAGGTCCTAAGACCTGTAACAATTATATTCATTTTGAAGATTAAACACGCAAATAGACTTACATGGAAGAAGAAAATATAACCACTCACTTCAATCTGTCTGCACTAAAACATATTTTCTAGACTAAAGCTTATTATAATTACAAATCACTATAGTACCCAATTCCAATTATTGTGAAATTCAAGAAATTTAATCAAAGTAGTAGATAAACGTTTACAATTTGTTACCTAGCTCCTCAGAATTTCTTGTGTAATTAAAACTAAAATACTCAAAGTCAATCACAGATATATCAAAATCAAGAAAACCAAAATGTATTAATGACAGTACAATCACTGTACACTAGAGGCACAAATATCCAGAAGTATTTGGAACTAGTATGTTTCTTGGTTAACCCACCTACTACAAGAAAATATGGTCCAAGAGAAAAGAAAAAAAAATTAATCACAAACATTAGCTTAGATTCAAACCAAAATCAAGCGAAAAAGTTCTACGGCATGATTCATCCAGAAGTTTAATAACGGAAATATAAAAACACTATGCCAAAGCTATAAAATCAAAGTCAATATCACAGATGGTGTTGTGGGAGGCCATGGGCCACCACATCAAAGGCCAAATGAAGATCACACGGAAGAATTAATGTTGGAAAGGAATTCTCCATTATCTCTCCAGAAATGCAGATTGCCAGGCTCCAACAGAGCCTCCCTTAATCTGAACATGCATTTTAGCAAGATCATCAGGCAACTTTCTTTTTTTGGGACAGATTCTCGCCCTGTTGCCCAGGCTGGAGTGCAGTGGCGCGATCTCGGCTCACCACAAGCTCCGTAACAGGCAACTTTCATGCACATTGCCATTTATATTGCACCACCAGACATTTAAACAAATGAATGACTGGACATCTTCTTCTTTCCTACCACAAAAAAAAAACCTGAGACACAAGTAAATCTTAAATTTATAACAGATGTTTGTTAGTAGGAATATTAAAATCACAACTAAATTAGCAACAGTTGAGAATAAGAAAAATCTAGTCACAAACCACATAAAAAATATTTAGCTATTCAACACTTCATCATCCAGTAAAACATCTCTTATCTATTTATTGTCAAAAAGAATAAAGATAGCCCAGAACATAGCACATAACAGACAATTTACACATTTTTAAATGAGTAAAAAGTATCCTAATTAGACAATTCTTAACATAAACATACCAGGTTCCAGCCAGTTAGAAATTTAAAAAAAAAAAAAAAGTTTTCAAAGTTATTTTAGCATGCTATCCAGAGCACAGGATTTTGACTATTTAATTTTCCCATATTTTGTATAGTGTGAAATGACTGAGAAATTTTATAAATGTTAAATTAGAACATGCTCGCTATAAAACTGTTGATACAAAATTGCCTTTTAACTATCCTCCATGAGTTAGACCTCCCAAGTTCTAAATAGGTAGCTATGTTTTTACTTGTTTTTGCCTACATATGTTTTTACCATAAGAAAAAAACTATATCCTACCTAAGGCTTTATTATCTAAATTTTCCTAAGTTTTCTCCTCATGGTGAAGGGTAAGCTGTTATTTAATACATCTATTTTCAATTCTTTATAGTTTTTAGGTAAGTTATTGCAGTCAATCTTACTGATAACTTTTCAGCACATCTCCACAAAATGATTTTTTAAGTGTCAAGTTGTAAAGAGAAAAGAAGTTAAAATAACAAATCTTAAGGAAACCTCCTAAAAATTCAAATGCTTTTAAAAATATTTAAAGAAATTTTTTAGCCTGAAATGCTTTTACAAAATGGGAACAGTTAACAATAGTAAATAAAACATTATGTAAAACACACAAAATAATATACCTCTCTCTTATTTCTTCTTGCAACCTTGAGGAATTCCATAAGAATCTGTAGTTGGGCTGCATGTGATTCCTACAATAGAAAATTATAATTTTTCTTTTAAAAAATATAACTGAGTTGAAAGTTTTCTTTAACACCATAGCATAAACAGTATGAAGCAAATTTATGCACCCATTTAAGTTCGTCTATTATTTCTATTTAATCAGTTTTCCCATTCCATTTGCTAATTGGCATTTTTAAAA
This sequence comes from Homo sapiens, assembly GCF_000001405.40. NCBI lineage: Eukaryota > Metazoa > Chordata > Mammalia > Primates > Hominidae > Homo > Homo sapiens. Next base: position 176,149,245 of record NC_000001.11, read on the forward strand.
GAATCAATTTTCTATAAAACTAACTAAAACTAAGAAACAGGTGTTCTAAATTACATCCCTTATCTAACATGCTGAAAAATCTTTTCACGGATAATGGCAATTCTATTACCTGACTCCTAGCCTTCTCTTCCCCAACTCAACTAAGAAAACATCAAAACAAAATTTACAGTGAAAGTAACATAGCTTATAGACACTAAAATCACTTTCTCCATGAGAAGTTCATTTGCAGAGGTAAGTGTAATAAATAGAGATAAACCTATACCTTTCACAAGTCAAATTTACTATTTCTAGTTATTACCTACTTATTCACAGATGTGAGAATATATTTCTATGGAAGATTTCAGGCAAAATCAAACAACTGAAAACAAAAAAATTTAATATAATCAAGTGGACAGCTTGCGGGTAGGGAGTAACTCAAATTGGTAATTGAGACAAGGATAGAACAGATAAATGAAAGTATAATAAGCCTTGACATTTTCTGAGTAGCAAAACATAAAAACACAAGTATGTATCATTTACTGTTAAAATTCACAAGAACCAGGAATTCCAGGTTAATCTGATAAAAATATATAAAATAATATCAAAAGCTAAAAATAAAATAACAATAAGAGACAGTTTATGAACAAACATCATTCTAATTTTTTCTTATATACTTGAAAGGGAGAATAAAAAAGCCCAGTGGAGCAATTCCAAAACAAACAAAAATACATGGAAAAAAAGATTAATAAAACTTTCATTTGCCTGGCTATGCAACAGAATTACCTGGGGCATTTGTTAAAACAGACACTGGGTCAGATTTTTAAAATTCTGATCCTGTTGCTCTAGAAAAGGTTCCAGGAATTTTTGTTAAACAAGTGCCCAGATGATAAGAATAAGCCAATTAAAATCTGAAGAATCACTAAGATATAACACGTACTACAAATAAGCATGACCACCTCACACCCACTTCCAGAGTCTATGCCTCTTGCAGATCTTTGGATTTTAAAAAATAAGAGGCAAAACAGATCAACGTAATTTACAAGTCAAGGCAAATAAGGAGAGAGAAAATATGAACTGATAATCACAACAGGATAGTCCAATTAAAATAATATAACTGAATTAATATGTTTTACAACTGAATAAATTTCCAAAACATAGAATCATGAAGATTGAAATTTTTTCTTGCATGACAAACTGACTTTGACTGGACCTTAGACCCATTCTTCCCAAGTGAGTTAATCTGTCACACAGAACAAACTCACATGGGCTCTGTCTCAACAATGACGACAAAGCATCCAAGCCTTCCACATTGTTTGTGGGACTTCTCTACACTGGTTATCTCTAACTATCTACGATTATTTGTCTAGAGGACAAAGACCACATGTTTATTTAAAAAGTAACAACTTTATACAAAAAGTAACTCCAAGTTAATAAAGTGACAGTTCATTTACAAAGGAATTATACAAACTATCTTCAAAATTATAAATCTGAACACTTCATTTCAATCTATTAACTAGAATATGTAAATATGACAAGAATGCAATTAACTTGTAGAAAGAAGGAGAAAGTCCCCAAAATGTCAATGTAAAAGGAAAGTGGGTCCAACTACATACACCAGGAATTCACCACATGACACCTTCTTCTGCAGTTTAATCTTTTTAAAGGAAGAATTTCAAGAAAAGAGATGAATGGCAAATATGAAACTACAATTTCACATATAAATATGAAGGAAAATTATAAAAAAGAGATAGTGGAAGAAAAGAGAATGCTTTAAAAAATGGAAAGAGTATAACCAATTATACCAAAATGTCTAGCCATATAATGTTCTATTAGAACAGGTGCAAATTTTTAACATGAAAGTAATCCCACCACTAAAAATGAAAGTCCAAGAAGTCAATTCTCTAAACATCTCTTACAATCGTCAAAACTTCCAAAAAACATGTAATGATCATTTAGCCCAATTCTCCCATTTTCGGATAAGGAAGCGTGTAAGAAAAAGAATAAAGAGAAATGTATTTAGAAAGAAAGAAAGAGAGAAAGAAAGAAAAAGGAAGGAAGGAAGGAAGGAGAGAAAGAAAGAAAGGAGAGAAAGAAAGAAGGAAAGAAAGAAAGAAGGAAGGAAAGAAAGAAAAAGAAAGAAAGAAAGAAAGAAAGAAAGAAAGAAAGAAAGAAAGAAAGAAAGAAAGAAAGAAAGAAACATATTTAGAATTTTACTCTCTACTCTCAGTACTCTACAATACAGCAAGTTTTTGTTACACTTGTCCCATCTGGTTCAGTTAAGCGTCTCAAGAGGGAGCGTATCTGCTATGTGACATGAAATATGCTTCGAGTTTTTATAGAACATTGGTCTTCTTTATTTTCCTACCCTTCTCTGCAACTAAATTTTGTTGTATTCTAAAAGAAAAAATTATCCTTATTATGGGAATGGAAGCAACTGCCTGATCAGAGCCTAATATAATTAAATATGTGAACTGCCTATTAAACTCTTCTTATTCCAATTCCATGCTTTAGTATCCTTCGGTTATATGGCAAGTTAGATGTCTTTCCAACTGGGAGAAAACACATTGGTCATAACTATGTAAATAACTAATGTAACTGATTTTTAAATATTTCACTATAAATGAGTAATTTGGTCCTTACAGGTTTAGTTAGCATAAGTTCATCTTCCCAAGTACAGTTCACTCTACAACAGTTGTCTCAAGAGTAGAACAACTGCCATTTTGAGGGCATTTTTTTTTTTTTTTTGCATCAGACTTTCTAAGCAGAATGGCATACGCAAGTTATTTAGAAATATAGAATTGTTGGCTGCAAAATCCTAGCACTGCGGGAAGCCAAGGCAGGCAGATTGCGTGAGCTCTGGAGTTCAAGACCAGCCTGGGCAACATGGCGACACCCCATCTCTACAAAAAATTCAAAAACTAGCTGGGCATAGTGGCATGTGCCTACGGTCCCAGCTACTTGGGAAGCTCAAGGCTGCAGTGAGCAGTGATCGCACCATTGCAGTCCAGTCTGGGTGAAAAAGCGAGACCTTCTCTCTCCTAAAAAAAAAAAATTATACATAATAGAGAGTGTGTGCAGTAAATAAAAACAATTAAAAATTGAAAAGATTCCTTCTGGAAAATTGATATCAGGGACTGGGAGTAATGGAACTAGGAACTGTTGCTATTTGCTATAAATCTTGTTAATAATGTTATGACATTGTAAATTAGAAGTAATTATTACTTAGATTTTTTTTTTTTCTTGAGACAGAGCCTCACTCTGTTTCCCAGGCTGGAGTACAGTAGCACGATCTCAGCTCACTGCAGCCTCCGCTCCCCAAGGTGAAGCAATTCTTCTGCCTCGGCCTCCCAAGTAGCTGGGATTACACATTCGCACCACCATGTCCAGCTAATTTTTGTATTTTTAGTAGAAACTGGGTTTCACCATGTTGGCCAGGCTGGTCTCGAACTCCTAAGTGATCTGCCTTCCTGGCCTCCCAAAGTGCCGTAATTACGGCGTGAGCCACTGTGCCCAGCTTAAAATTCTAACCAAAAAAACCCTAGATAACTTTATGTGTGTTTCCCCTACTTGGGTTCAGATTCCCTACCTATAAAATGTGCAGGTAACATTTCACAAACAGGAGTCATCATCCCATACTTTAGATAGGATATTACTATTTAGGTAATAATTTTTCTCTAGAACACTACAGTATTTTCCTTAAATCTACTGTCAACAGAAAACTTCTAAAGGATATTCACTTCTGCTTGTATAGACAACAGACTTCAAATAAGGGTACAGATATACCTGAGAATGCATGAAGATCTTCCAAAGCGTATGTGGACACAGAGGGTTTTAGGAAGTTGATTCCCTAATTCTCCACCATCTACCTTTTCTTCTTCTAAAACATGTCTGCTCACAGGACATCACTCCAGTTCTCAATTCTAGCCTCTTTCATCAAATTTTCTATTCTCACTTTGTACAGAAGGTTGTAAGGAAGGGATGGCAGCAAAGCAGGTAGGCTTGTCACTTATCTTTTACCCACCCAGAAGTTTACCTTATACATGTCCCTGGGGTATAAAATTCTCTGGAATAACAAAATAAGGCAATAAAAAATACTACAGTTTGGAAAAGTGGATGACTCTAAAGACTAGATAACAAATCCTTTTATAAGTCAGGTAGTTCCCAAGTCTTTGTACTGACAGAAATGAATACTAGTGATTTCTGTACATTGATTTTGTATTCTGAGACTTTGCTGAACTTGTTTGTCAGCTTAAGAAGCTTGTCGGCTGAGACTATGGGATTTTCTAGGTATAGAACCATGTCATCTGCAAACAGATAGTTTGACTTACTCTCTTCCTATTTGGATCCCCTTTCTTTCTTTCTATGCTTGACTGCTCCAGCCAAGACTTCCATCACCATGTTGAATAAACAGGAGTAGTGAAAGAGGGCATCCTTGTCTTGTGTTGGTTTTCAAGGGCAATGCTTCCAGCCTTTGCCCATTTAATGATGTTGGCTGTGGGTTTGTCACAGATGGCCCTTATTATTTTGCGGTATGTTCCTTCAATACCTAGTTTATTGAGAGTTTTTAATATGAAGGAGGGCTGAATTTTGTTGAAAGTCTTTTCTGCATCTACTGAGATAATCATGTTGTTTCTATCTTTTGTAGTTCCATTCGTGTGATAAATCACATTTATTGATTTGCATATGTTGAACCAGTCTTGCATCCCAAAGATAAAGCCTACTTTATCATGCTGGATAAGCTTTTTGGTGTACTGCTGGATTCAATTTGCCAGTATTTTGTTGAGGATTTTTGCATGGATGTGAATCAGTAACACTGGTCTTAAGTTTCCTTTTTTTGCTGTGTCTCTGCCAGGTTTTGGTATCAAGATGATGCTGGCCTCACAGAATACTTAGGGAGGAGTGCCTCTTCCTCAATTTTTTGGAATAGTTTCAGTAGGAATGGTACCAGCTTTTCTTTGTATATCTGGCAGGGCTACTTATTACTGATTTAATTTTGGAGCTCTTTATTGGTCTGTTCAGGGATTCAATTTCTTCCTGGCTCAGTCTTGAAAGGGTGTATGTGACCAGGATACCCAAAGGAATACAAATCCTTGCATTATAAAGACATATGCACATGTATGTTCACTGCAGCACTATTTACAATAGCAAAGACATGGAATCAACCTAAATGCCCATTAATGGTAGATTAGATAAAGAAAATGTGGTGTACATACACGATAGAATGCTATGCAGCCATAAAAAAGGAGATCACGTCCTCTGCAGGAACATAAATGAAGCCAGAAACCATTATCCTTAGCAAACTAACACAGGACGAAAACCAAATACCACATGTTCTCACTTACAAGTGAGAACTAAACGATGAGGACACATGGACACATAGAGGGGAACAATACACACTGGGGCCTATCGGAGGGTAGAGGGTGGGAAGAGGAAAAGGATCACGAAAAATAACTAATGGATACTAGGCTTAATAGCTGGGTGACAAAATAATCTGTACAATGAACCCCCATGACACAAGTTTACCTATATATAACAAACCTGCACATGTACTCCTGAACTTAAAAGTTAAATACAAAAAGACTGAAAGGATATGAAACTAGACGATGACGGTATTGGAAAGAAAATTGAAAAATCCATAATCACATTAGTAAATTAATATACTTTCTTCTGCATTAGCTGGGTTTTTATTTTTAAATAATTTTAATAGAAAATTTTAAATAGAAAGATTATTAGACATAAAGAACAAATCCTTGAAACAATTTCAGAACACACATGCTTAAAAGCATAAGACGAATATTTACAAAAAGTGACAACAGTTCATAAAATGAGTGACTTAAATTTGGAAGCACTGGCATCACAGACAACACTTTCACAGTACAAATCATTTCAGTTAAAAAAAATTAGTGTTTAATCCTCTTCAGATTAAAATGTAAAAGGTTACTTCCACAGTAACAAAAAAAGGGATAAATCAAAAAATGCGTACTATTCTTTAAAGCCAATGACTGAAACTAACTCAAGCAGCGATGAAGCCCCAGTTAAGCTGAATTCCTGAATAAAACCAAAGGGGTCAGTCTCTCATCCTTGCTCCTAAAAACTAAAATAAATAAATAATTTTATAAGTAAATAAATATAAATTTAAAAATCGATGAAATTAAGAGCAAAGCAGACATAGCAGAGGAAAGGAATAACAAACTCAAACACAGTTCAATACAAATTATTTAAATTCACAGGAAAAAAAGGAAAATAAGAACAGAGCATCAGAAGTCTGTAAGATAATATGAAACATTATAACAACATATGACTAGAAACCTACAGGGAAAGGAAGGAGAGCAAAGGGCTGAACAAGTAATGGCTGACTATGTTCAAAAATTAAATCCTAGGCATTGAATTTGTTCGCTGCCAAAAAACAAAATAAAATAAAGAACAGATCCTCTTGTTGCATGAAACCCAAGAAGAATAAATATAAAAATAATAAAATGTAGGAATAACATAGTCAAATTGCTGAAAACCAATGTCAGAAAGAAAATCTTAAAAGCAGTTAGAGAGAAAAACGATATACTAGCTTTAGGAGAAGGATGGTAAAAATGACTACTGATTTCATCAGAAACAAAAGAATAGTGAAAATATCTTTAAAGTGTTTTAAAAAGAAAACCCAAAGCTTCTATATAGAGCAAAACAATCTGCTTTACAAGAAATAGTAAAAAAGTTATACAAGTAAAAGGGAAATCAGCCAGATGGATGCGAGAAAAAATGAAGAGCATCTGAAAAGGTAAATATTTGGGTAAATAAAAAAAGGGTCTGGTGGGTTTTTGTTCTTTTTTATTTATTTATTTTGGTATCCTATCTTCAAAAGCCAAAATAACAATGTTTTAAAAAAGAAAAAAAAAGTTTGGTGAGACTTATAACATGGTTTGAACCAAAAAAAGGGGAAGTTTAGTAAACTGAGTTATGTGGTATACCATATATTCAAGATTGCCTGCAAACATATTGTCCTTGAAGTAGCATACTATAAACTGTGTGGGAGAAAAGGCCTTTTGTGGTATTTAGAGAAAACACTAAAATTACAATAAAAAGAAGTACATGAAAAATAGAGAAGATAAAATGAGATACTGAAAACCCAATGATGTCTAAAGGAGGCAAGAAAGGAGGAAGAAGTGATAAAGAACAGGAGGGAGAAATGGAAAACAAATACCATGGTGTAGACTCAAACCGAACTATATCAATAATTATATTAAATAAAATTTAAATGGACTTAAGCACTTCAATTCACTGCACTTATTAGACTGTGTTTTTAAAAAGAACAGAAAAAAATACTACCTACTGTTAAGGACACACACTTTATAAGGACAATGACAGAACTAAAGTACAAGCATGAAGAAGACTATACCATGGAAACATTAACTATAAGTAAGATGCTGTGGCTCTATCAGTATCAGACAAAGCAGACTTCAGAACAATAAATATTTCCAACAATAAACATATCCATTTCATAATAATAATAAAGGAGATGATTCATCCAGAAGATATAAAAATTCTAAACATGTATGAGCTGCACCTAATAACAGGGTTTCAAAATACATGAAGCAAAAATTACCAAAAAAGAAAACAAAAGTAGACAATTATAATAATAACAGTAACACACTCGTCAGCAACTGACAGCAAGGAGGAAAAACAAATTTAATAATATTAACTGGCTGGGTCTGGTGGCTCACACCAGTAATTTCAGCACTTTTGGAGGCCAAGGCAGGCAGATCACCCAAGGCCAGGAGTTCGAGACCAGCCTGGTCAACATGGTGAGACGCCATCTCTACCAAAAATATAAAAATTAGCCGAGGGGGGTGGTGTGTGCCAGTAATCCCAGCTACTTGGGAGGCTGAGGCAGGAGAATCTCTTGAACCTGGGAGGCAGAGGTTGCAGCAGAGATCACGCCACTGCACTCCAGCCTGAGTGACAAAGAGAGACTCCATCTCAAAAAAATAATAACAACAACAATAATATTAATATTAACCCACACTACATAATCATATTTATAAAGAACTACAATGAATAAAAACACTGTTTTCAAATGCAAGTGGAATATTTACAAAACAGATTATGCTGAGCTACAATGAAATCACAATCAATTTCAAAGGACTAAACACATGCAAATTGAGCTTCCCCTTCTGGCCAAAATGGAGTAAAAGGGACTAGATTTACATTCCTGCCTTAAACAACAAAACACCTGTCCAACTATATGAAACAATGCTTTCCAGACAAAGGGCCAGAAATATTACATGTTCCCAGCAGCCAGAGTAGAAAAACCAAGAAATATACATGCATCAGGCACTCAAAAAGGTTGTCTCAGTAGTGAGGCAAAACTAGCAGAGACAAAAAACTGCTCTGCTCCTCCCTATCATACCTTAAAAACAAGCTTCAAGAGATTCAAACTGTTTCCAAGTAACTTAACTACATGTCAGGACAAAGTTCAGGAATATATAAAGGATTACAAAAATATTCAGCACTGAACAAGGTGAAATTTATAATTTCTGGCATCTAATTAAGAAACAAGCATGCAAAGAAGCAGAAAAATATATCCTACAATAAGGGAAAAAGTCAATCTATATGGAGCAAAATTGAAGACAGCAATAGAAACTATCCAAAATGCACTAGAAAGATGAATAAGATCAAATAAAATGAACAAAACTATTCATCAATGACCTAAAGAACAACTTCAACTAGCCTAAGAGATATGTAACTGGAATTCCCAAAGTGGAAGAGGGGACATAAAAATATTTGAAGAAATAATGGCTGAAAATTTTCTAAATCTGAAGCAAACTATAAATCTACAGATCTAAAAAATTCAAAGAACCCAATAACAAAAAACACAAAGGGGGAAAAAAAAAACCTCTACTGCAAGGCACATCATAATCAAAACACTTACACCCATAAAAAGAGTATCTTAAACTGGGAGAAACATATTTCATTAAGAAGACAAAAGATAAGAATGACAGCAGACTTTTCATCTGAAACAATGCTAGGAGACAGTGGAGCAACATTTCTTTAAAAGCCAATCTGGAATTTTATACTTATATGGAGTACCTTTCAAACACAAAAGTAAAATAAAGATTTTGTCAGACATATAAAAGAAATAATTCGCCTCTCGCCGTCCTGCACTAAAGAAATGGTAAATGATGTCCTTGAGGCTAAAGGAAAATAACAGATAGAAACCAATCTAGACAAAAGAATAAAGGACACCAGAAATGGTAAATAAATGGGTAATATAAGACTTGCTAGAAATCTCCATAATTTAACCACAATTAATAACAACGTATTGTGGAATATATAACACATTTAGAAGTAAAATATATGACATAAAATACTACAATGGCCAGGAGAGAGAAAATGAAAGTATACTGTTTTTAAGGTTCTTTTTTTTTTTTTTTTTTTTTTTTGTGGAGATGGAGTCTTGCTCTGTCTCCCAGGCTGGAGTGCAGTGGCACAATCTCGGCTCACTGCAACCTCTGCCTCCTGGGTTCAGGCAATCCTCCTACCTCTGCCTCCCAAGTAGCTGGGACTATAGGCGCACACCGCCATACCCAGCTAATTTTTTGTATTTTTAGTAGAGACAGGGTTTTACCATGTTGCCCAGGCTGGTCTCGAACTCCTGAGCTCAGGCAATCCACCCACCTCGGCCTCCCAAAGTGCTAGGGTTACAGGCGTAAGCCACTGTGCCTGGCCTAAGGTTCTTGTAATACAGATGAAGTAGTATAATATTACTTTAATGTAGAATGTGGTAGTAATTGTATTAAAAACTCTAAAGCAACCACTAAAAAGACAAAAAATTATAAGTGATGAACCAACAAAGCATCTAAAATGGAATCACCTAAAATCATGTAAATTATGTTCTCCAACTATAATGGAATTCAACTAGAATTCAATTACCAAAATATATACTTGGCAAAGTAGTAATATACAAAATACAAGCACACACACATACACAAATCAGTAAGAGAAAAGACAAATGATCCATCAGGAAAATGGACACAAAATATGAATAGGTAATTCATCAAATAGAAAACAAGGGTGGCCAAATGAAGAAATTCTCAGCTGTACTGGTTATTACAGAAATGTATTTTTAAAACACACATACACACACACAAACAGCATTTGATACTTATCAGACTGGCAGTAACTAAAAAACAGAAAATACCAAGTGCTTATATGGCACAAATCCACAGAAGAGCAATCTGTCAATATCAAATATTTAATAAGATTAAAATGTGCACACATACCCTAATGCGAGCACAAGGAGAAAGGTATACTAAATGTAGTGCTGACACAACTAAGAATTGAGAAGAACCTAAATGCCCATCAATAGAATAATAGATATATTTCTGAAACAGATTACTATAAGAATTTAAAATAAATAAACCAAATCTACACTTATCAATATGAACCTCAAAAAGTAAACAAATAGGTATATTTCAAAAGGATAACTACAGCATGAAACCCTTTATATAAACCTCTAATTTATGCAAACTACTTTATATGGTTGTAGATACTAACATACATAAGAAACGCATACACATGCTTGAGAAGGATTCTTGCCAACTTCATATGGTGGTCACACTGGGAGAAGGGAATGAGATGAGAGGGGTTTAAGTATGAAAATAATTACTTCTTAAGTCAGATCTAAGACATACGCCAAAATCTTCACATTTATTAAAACTAGGAAGGAGTATTTCAGAGCCCCATATTATTTTCTGTACTTTTCTGTATGCTGGAAAGATTCAGGTTAAATAATAATGAAAAGTAAAACAGAAAGCAATAATGTAAAAAAATCTATGACAGGAACTTTGCTTCTGAGGTGGCTCCCTCTTCAGAAAATAATAGGAAAGAATCTGTAATCTAATAAGACAACTGTGTTTCTTCAATTCGAAGCCAAAAAGGAAACAAAGACTAATGCTGGCATATGAGAAGGTAGGAAGAAGGTTACCAGTTCTCACTTTCACTATGTAATTATCTGCTTTTGGTATGGTAGCCCACACACATCTTTTTTTTTTTTTTTTTTTTTTTTTTTTACTTTAAGTTCTGGGACACGAGTGCAGAATGTGTAGGTTTGTTACCTAGGCAATATCATTCAGGACATAGGAATGGGCAAAGACTTCATGACTAAAACATCAAAAGCAATGGCAACAAAAGCCAAAATTGGCATATGGGATCTAATTAAACTAAAGAGCTTCTACACAGCAAAAGAAACTATCATCACAGTGAACAGGCAACCTACAGAATGGGGAAAAATTTTTGCAATGTACCCATCTGACAAAGATCTAATATCCAGAATCTACAAGGAACTTTGAACAAATTTACAGGAAAAAAAATAAACAACCCCATCGAAAAGTGGGCAAAGGATATGAACAGACACTTCTCAAAAGAAGACATTTATGTGGCCAAAAAACGTATGAAAAAAAACTCAACATCACTGATCATTAGATAAATGCAAATCAAAACCACAATGAGATACCATCTCACATCAGTCTGAATGGCAATTATTAAAAAGCCAAGAAACAACAGATGCTGACGAGGCTGTGGAGAAACAGGAACACCCACATACATCTTTAAGTGTGCCTGTTATGAAGCAGTCCAGAGAGCTTCTTTCTTACCACCTCCGTTGGGGGTGGAGGGGTTAAAAATTATAGTTTTCTCCTAAAGTAGAAAAGGAAGAATCATTAGCTTAGTTATATAAGAAGGAATCAGGGATTCCAACTGCTTCTTAAACAGATTCTCAACCACTCATTGTTTTCAGCCTTTACTCTGTCAGATACCTGATGGTCCCAATCCCAGGGCCTCTGCTCCACAATATAAATAGGGTCAGTTCTTAGCTTTCTCCCTATTGCTGGTGTAGCATTCAGTTTCCTCAGATCTACTTATCTGTTACCTTTTGTCCATCTGTTTCATAGCTTAGAAAAAATTCCTGAAAATATATCTTATCTCATTTTATTTATTTTTGCCTCTTTAAAATCCCTAATTTACTGTCATTTTCATCATTTCAAAAGGGAGCAAGGTAACTGCGTATGTTCAATCTCTCATAAAAAGTCATTTTAGGGCCGGAAGCAGTGGCTCACCCTATAATCCCAGCACCCTGGGAGGCTGAGGTGGGAGGATTGCTTGAAGCCAAGAGTTTGAGACTACTGTAGGCCAATATAGTGAGACCTGTATCTACAAAAAATAAAAATAAAAATAAACTAGTTGGGTGATTTAAAAACTAAAAAAATTAGTGGTGTGAGTGAGAGGCTGAGGCAGGAGAATCACTTGAGCCCAGGGGGTAGAGGATGCAGTGAGCTATGACTGTACCACTGCACTCCAGACTGGGTGGGTGACAGAGGGAGACTTTGTCCCTTAAAAAAAAAAGAAAGTCTTTTATATTACTTATCACCATGTGAAAATACCTGCTTTACTGATTTAGTTCACAAACACACACATACAGCAGAACTCTAGCTTGTCCACAGACCTTAACACAACCCCTGGCAAACAGTAGATGCTAATAGTAAACTATGGTTAAAACCGTAAGAGAAATTCCCATTTACCCGACCTCCCAAACAGATATAACATGGGAGACAACTTATTTTGGCTGGCTCAACCTGACACACCTTTCTCCTACTAGAAGATCCCCACCACAGTCAGTGGGATCCAGATCCAAGCTAAGTTAATCATAATCTAGCCACAGAAATCTTTAAACTGCAGTTGGAAACAAAAGCTCCTTTTTTTCTTTTATCAAAAAACATACATATAAACCAAGAGTGCAAATGACATTATTATCCACCATGTGATAAAAAAGTCTACAAGAAAAGAAAATCAGAGCTGTCCCAATCAAACAGGCATAAGGGGCACAAAAGAAAGACTCTCAACAACATTCAAATCCCTATCTCATGTACTTGTAGTCTTCCAGAGAAGCCATGGTTCTAATCTTCTCAAAGTTTGGTGGTTCAACTATTCTTTTTTGTGTGTATGTGTTACTCACTCACTTACTGTCTCAATAAATACTCCCTTTATGTTTAACCTCAGGGTAGTATTTGCTTATGCTAAGGTGTGTGTTGCTTATAATATATCACACTCAATTCCCAATACTTGCAATTTCACATTTTACGTCTTTAACAGTTACGTAAAATAAATGGAATTTTACATTACATTAAATAAGATATATTTAGTACAGATCTCTTTAAATGCTCTTAGTTATGCCATAGACTACTACTGCTACCAATGGACACCTGCTGAAAGAACTGTATGTAGATAAAAATAATCTCTATTTCTCCTCCAAATCTCACATATGAAGAGGGGACAATATGGTAAGAAAGATACTCATTAGAAGACAGATAACCAACAAAACTATTTCCTATGAAAACGAAACTTTACTTTCTCAAGATTTTGAACACTCAGCTTTTGTTAATAAAAACTGGTCATTGCAAATAAGTTATAATGTATTGAAATTGTTCTTTAAGTTACAAAAAGGGGGAATCTAGCAGAAGTGACACTTTGTAGCTGTTTCTAGCTGAGTAAAAATGAATGGATTAGTGAAGCTATCCTATTATTTTTAAACTTTCTACGTCTTTTTTATTGCAATAAAGTTCATCATTTAAAATTTTTTTTAAGTTTAGCTACCACTTACTGCTTCCAGTTGTTTCTTCTTCTGCACTAGTAACTCCAACATAAGATTGACATTGGCCAAATCAAGGTTATCTTGGTCAGTTCCCAACCAATCTTGAAATATCTGCCACCTGTGGCCATTCTAAAAATGAAGAAAGAAGAAACACAACAACTTCCTATGAAGACTGTTTTAGAGACTAAAACAAATGTTTACTTGCTACTTCCTAATATGCTCATTACATAGATATCGAAAATATATTATAATGTTCCAAACTACCCCTTCCTAGCTAGTGGCTCCCTACTGTCTTACAGTTATAACTTAAACACTATTTCTTCTCCCTTAAATGAATTTAGATAACAAATATAAAAGGTGCCTTTGAGACTATTCTAAAGCTGTAATTTACCTTCAAAATGACTGAATTTAATTATTTGTCTAGCCATATTTTCAATTTTGCATGTAGTAAGGTATTAAGCTCATTTGCCTCCATAATTTGGGACTAAGCCTTTAAAATTGAGAATCTTTCAAAGGTTTGTTTTGTTTTTGTTTTTGTTTGAATATAGACAAAGTCTCGCTATGTTGCCCAAGCTAGTCTCAAATTCTTGGGCTTGAGTGATCCTCCCACCTTGGCCTCCCAAAGTGTTGGGATTATAGGTGTGAGCCCAACCTCAACAGTTTTTTGAAAATATCTAACCATTGTTTCACCACCCAAAATAATCCTTCAAATGTCAAGTATTCAAAGACAAATGTTTCAATATAATCCTACCAGACCTTTCAAAATAGGATCACTCTAGTAAAGTACTACAGACAATGCAGTTAAGAAAGTTAGTTATTTGACTAGAACAATCCTAAACAATCGCCTTTTAAGAAAAATCAATAATATACTAAACTTTAACATCTAACTAATATTAAACCAATAAAAACAACAAAATGAAATTTATTAAAAATAGTAATAAGAGTTGAAACATACGGTGCTACTCACTGAGTGGTCCAATTTGAACCTCTTTTCCTCAAATCTTTGCTTCTGTTTAAGAATGAGTTCATTCACTGAAAACAGAAACAAAATAAAAAGCACACATAATTTGTATTTTTGTTAAATGTATCATGTAATTCTTCGGTTTAGATAGATTCTATTTTACCTATACATAGCCTCCAAATTCAAAACATGCTAAACAGAAAGTGTTAGCTTTTTATTTTATTTCAAGTTAGAAAACAGTTTTGCTGCAGCTGCTACTACTACAACTACTATTACTATAGGAGAATTCTTCAGAATATGTATTTTCCCTTACATGTTTCTCAATGATGACGCTATTGGCACTTGCTGAGAGAGAAATCCTCATTCACCATGTGAGACCATCACATGCCCCATATGGTAACAAGGCATGAGTAACTGAGTATCTACTATGAGTTAAGTACTAAAGACTTGCATTTGTTCTTTTTCTTTGTAATTCTTCTAAAAATACCATGGAAGACACTTTTAGCTAACTATCCAAAAACCATCCTACTCTTTTTCTTGATAATAACATGACTTTTTTCCAAGTGTCAGACTGCCATATAACTTTCAGAGAGGTTAGATTCCACCCCAACCCCATGTATTACTTTGACTAACCTAAGGCAATCTAGTCATTCATGCCCTTGCCAGTGGTTGATGTGGGGTTAAGTACGTAACCCAATTTTGACCAAAGAGAGATGTGCTATCTTTCAGAAAGGAAAGGATAGGAGAAAAAAACCATGCCTTCATAAGGGGATGATATCTGGAACTGCTTAGAGCCATCTTGCAACCTCAAGAATAGCCAGCCAAAAGACCAAGGTATATGCTGGCAATGGAAGAAAAGAACAAGAGAAAGAACCTGACAATACCACTGAACCACTGATAACTAGTTCTAGAAATTCTTTTCCCGTGAATCGATACATTTTCCATAATGTTTAACCACTTTAAATTGGATCTTTCTATTTTTCTACAACCAACAAATATAAACTGACACAAAAAACTGATTTTTTTTTTAAAAAGGGAAACTACCACTAGGCTAGGAAGGCACTTTATAGACAATATCTTACAGATTATTTTCCCCAATTAGAGATGAAGAAGTATTAGCACAGAGAGCATAAGTAACTTATGCATGGTGACATATACAATGAGACAATGCTGAGAATATAGACCCAACTGTCTGATACTTCCCAGTATATCACAATGCAAGTATAAATATTTTTGAAAACAACAAACAGATACCAAGCTCATAAGGATCCAAGCTTCAAAGACACAATCCAAGGTCTCAAGCAACTCAGACTAGCAAGACAGATGCATATGATACAGTACTTGTAATATAATGTGATAATCAGTACTATCATTAAAATAGATTTACAAAGTATACACGCAGAGATCAATCAAAATGTTAACAAGCACACTTCATATAGAAGGCAACATTAGAAATGGGCCATAATAGGCACACAGGGGCTCACTAAGCAAAAATAAAAGTGAAGAAAAATTCAGGTGAGAGAGAGAGAGAGATGTGTGTCGTGTGTGTGTGTGTGTGTGTGTGTGTGTGTGTGTGTGTGTGTGTGTAGGAGATACAACGATTTAAAATCAATATAGTCATCCCAGCACTTTGGGAGGCCAAGGTGGGTGGATCACCTGAGGTCAGGAGTTCGAGACCAGCCTGGCCAACATGGCAAAACCCTGCCTCTACTAAAAATAGAAAAATTAGCCTGACATGGTGGCACGTGCCTGTAGTCTCAGCTACTCGGGAGGCTTAGGAAGGAGAATCACTTGAACCCAGGAGGTAGTGAGCCAAGATCGTGTCACTGCACTGCAGCCTAGGAGATAGAGCTAGACTCCATCTCAAAATAAATAAATAAATAAACAAGTAAGTAAGTAAAATCAATATAGCTAAAACAAGGGTCAGAGTGATCTTGTGAATGATTCACAGGGATTAAGAACTAAGCCTGGAAATGTAGGCAGATCAGAGCCAGATTGTGAAGGGCCTGAACTGCAGATACCTTACACAAGAAAAGTGATTATAATCCAGATAAAGGAGAGAGCATGAAATAATTCAGTGGGAATAAAGAGGAGTAAGTCAGTAAGAGGTCAGTGTCACAGTTATGAATTTAACCATTTGAAGAAAAATAGTGACTGTTAAATACTTTACATGAATATGCCGCATTGAATTTTACCACAAAATCTTATATACCATTATATTTGATTCTCAATAACAATACTGTAAGATCAAACATTTTTTTCAAGAGCAACTCTATTAACTAAAGATCAAGCCTGTATTTATTTATTTTATTTATTTATTTATTGAGACAGGGTGTGACTCTGTCACGCAGGATGGAGTGCAGTGGCGTGATCTTGGCTCCCTGCAACCTCCGCCTCCCAGGCTCAAGCCATCCTCCCATCTCAGCCTTCCCAGTAGCTAGGACTACAGGTGCACACCACTCCACCCAGCAAATTTTTGAATCTTTTATAGAGACAGGGTTTCACCATGTTGCCCAGGCTGATCTTGAACTCTTGGCCTCGAGTGATCCGTCTACCTTGGCCTCCCAAGTGCTGGATTACAGGCATGAGACACCATGCCCAGCCAAGGTAGATCAAGCCTGTAAAGGCCACAAAATTAAATTACAAAATAAAGTTACAGCAAATGATGGCAAAAATAAAGTGTAAACAAACAATGTATTAACTGTCTTGCCATGTCATATAAAGACATTTAAATTCTACATTTACCAAACGAAGTTTTTTACTACTGTATCAGATTTTTCATGGAGTTACTTGAAAAAATGGTTATTTTTTTCTTCTTGAAAAACGATATCCTAGGCTGGGCACAGTGGCTCATGCCTATAATCCCATTATTTAGGGAGGCTGAGGCAGGCAAACAGCTTGAGCCAGGAGCTGGAGACCAGCTTGGGTAACATAGCAAAACCCCGTCTCCACAAAAAAATACAAAACTTTCCCAGGTGTGGTGGTACATGCCTGAATTCCCCGCTACTCAGGAGGCCTAGGTGGTAGGACTGCCTGAGCTCAGGAGTTCGAGGCTGCAGTGAACCATGGTCACGCCACTGTACTCCAGCCTGCATGACAGAGAGAGACGCTGTCTCAAAAAAATAAAAATTTTTAAAAAACTATATCCTACAACAAACAATGGTTACCTATGGAAAATAAAAGAAGTTATTTTATTTAGTACACTCAGCTTAAGTGTTTCCTCATCAAGGGGTATTTTATTATTTTTGTACTTCAAAAATTTAACAGAAGAAAATCTCTTAAAATGCAAGGTATATACACTGGACTCAACATTCAAATGTCTATATATGTATATATGAAAGTCATTAGAGTCACACACTTAGTGGGAAAACCCTTTCAAAACTATGTCACAGCTTACAAACAAGAATAGCAAAATGGTGAATTCCATTCCATAACTTTGAAAACTTATTTTAAAAGCAATGCTTACCTATTAGCAGAAGACATCAGCTAGCATCTTATTTATACTATAGATTAAAGCATTTAATGATCAGTGTCTGTCTTGTCCACCATCGTGGTCCCTGACGCATAGTAGGCGCCTGGTATTTGCTGAATGAATGAATGAATGAATGAATGAATGAATGAATGAAATCTTGATGACATGCTCCTGGATTTTAAGTGTGACATGCCACGTTTAGCTAACACTTTCACATTTCCAATTAAGATAAGCCTTAATTTGAAACCATCACCAATTCTTAGAATTGATACCTAAACCTAAGGATGTTATACATTTGTTAATTATAATTCTACAGAGCCTTACAACATCCACAGTACTAAGAACAAACATTTCTTAGTACAAAAAAAAATGCATTTTAATGCTAAAGACTCCATTCAAGCAACGGTCTTTTTAGAGGCAGAACAGTACAGTAAAAGCACAGATGCTTGAGCCAAATTGCCTAAGACCAAATTCTAATTTCACCACTTTGGCTGTATAACTTGACACAAGTTACTCAACCTGTCTATGCCTTAGTTTCCTCACCTAAGGAATGAGGATGATAAAATCAGTACCCATCTCACAAGCCTGCCATAAGGATTGACTTCATGTACATACAGGATTGAAAACAGTGACTGACAGTAGTAAGGACTTTTATATGCATCAGCCATTTTTTTTTTAAACAGGGATTTTACACGTTGCAAGCATACTGTATTTTTTATTAGTGGTTAAGAGGATTATTCATTAGAGAGGTAAGAAAATTCAATTTACGATTTTTTTTTTTTTGAAACAGAGTCTCGCCCTGTCGCCCAGGCTGGAGTGCAATGGTGCGATCTCGGCTCACCGCAACCTCCGCCTCCTGGGTTCAAGCAATTCTCCTGCCTCAGCCTCCCGAGTAGCTGGGATTACCGGTGCGCACCACCACACTTGGCTAATTTTTTGTATCTTTAGTAGTGACAGGATTTCACCATGTTGGCCAGGCTGGTCTAGAACTCCTGACCTCGTGATCCGCCCGTGTCAGACTCTCAAAGTGCTGGGATTACAGGCGTGAGCCACCACCCCTGACCTACAAATTTTATATATAGAGAGAAAGGTAGAGAAAAAGACAGCTGGGTGGGTGGGGGGAGTACGGGGGAAAGGAAGGAAGGAAGAAAGGGAAGAAGGAAGCGAGGGAGGGAGGAAGGGAGGAAGGCAGGAAGGGAGGGAAGAAGGAAGGGAGGGAGGGAGGGAGGGAGGGGAAAAAAGCAAGCAAGCAAGCAGGCAAGCAAGGGAGCTTAGAAAGCAAGCTTTGGCAGGAGTGGAGTACACCTGCAGAGTATATAGGGAGTGGTAATGGGGAGGGGTGGTAATGGAGGGTCGGACTTCCAGCCCTTACCTGAATCAGCCTTTCAGGATCAGGAGAGGGAAAGAGAGCATTCAAAACCAAGGGAGGCAGAGAGGAGCAGACAGAGTATGCACACTGGAGGGAAGTAAGGGAGAAACAGAAGAGAATGAGAGAAAATGCTGTGGAAGGTAGAGAAAGATGCAGGGAAGGGAAGTCAGGAGGAAGAGGGGCTATAGTGTAGTGCTTACAGCAGGAAAGAAAGAAAATCATATTATCTATCTCAATGAAAATGTATATGACTCTAATGACCAAGAAACCAAATCCATCTTGAGTTATTTGGTTTCCAACTCTTTCTTTTCATCAAAATTGAAAAAAATGCCTGACTTGTTAATAGGGCATCTAAAATTTTTTGTGTGACAATAAATCAGTAAGTGCTTCTTTAGCACAAAATTCAAAAGGAAGGCAAAGAAATGAGTCATGTTGCTGTAAAAACGCCTTCAAGTCCCATCAACTTAATTAATATAAACAAGGTTTCTCAAGACTCACACATTTAAAAATAAAAATTACACAAAGGAAATGGAATCCTCGTCATAGTAATATTCATCAATGCCACTTAAACTACTTGGGGAGAAGGATACCACACACCTTGGTAAACGGTACATTCACTATAGAATTTTATGTCTAAGACTTCATAAAATTATGTGTAATATTTATTTGTTTGATCAATTGTATACTACTACTAATTAAATAACAACATAGGAAACATATTTAAGACTTCTTAATGCTTAAGAGGAAATTAAGTTCAAAAAAAACTTTTAAGTGTGTAATTTCTATATACAAAGCGTACCTTGGAGAAATCGCAGGTTCGGTTCTAGGCCCCACAATAAAGCAAGTCACATGAATTTTGGTTTCCCAATATACATAAAAGTTCTGTTTACGCTATACCGTAGTTTAAGTATTATGTCTTTAAAAAAAGTATTAATATATACGTTTATTAAAAAATACTTTATTGCTAAAAAATGCTAATGACCATCTGAGCCTTTGGCAAGTCATAATCTTTTTGCTGGTAGAGAGTCTTGCCTCCATGTTGACGGCTGCTGACTGATCAGGGTGGTAGTCACTGAAGTCTAGGCTGGCTGTGGCAATTTCTTAAAAGAACACAATGACGAAGACTGCTGCATCAACTGATTCTTCCTTTCACAAAAAATTTCTCTATAGCCTGCAATGTTACATGATAGCATCTTTCTCACAGTAGAATTTCTTTCAAAGTTAGTCAACCTCTGAAGCCCTCTTGCTGCTTTATCAACTAAGTTTATGTAATATTCTAAATTCTTTGATGTCATTTCAACAATGTTCACAGCATCTTCACTAGGAGTAGATTTCATCTCAAGAAACCACTTTCTTTGTTCATCCATAAGAAACAATTCCTCATCTGTTTAAGTTTTATCAGGATAGTACAGGAAAATTCAGTCACATCTTCAGGCTCCATTTCTAATTCTAGCTCTCTGGCTACTTCCTCCACATATGCAGTTACTCCCTCTACTGAAGTCTTGAACCCTTCAAAGTCATCCATGACGGCTGGAATCAACTTCCACCAAACTCCTTTTAATGTTGATATTTTGACCTCCTCCCATGAAACATGAGTGTTCTTAATGGCATCTAGAATGGTGAATCCTTTCCAAAAGGTTTTCCATTTACTTTGCCCAGATCTCAGAGGACTCATTATCACTATGGCAGTTATTATGAAATGTGTTTCTTCAATAATAAGACCTGAAAGTCAAAATTACTCCTTGATTTATGGGCTACAGAATGGATATTGTGTTAGCAGTATGAAAACAACCTTACTCTCCTTTGTACATCTGTATCAGAGCTCTTGGGTGACCAGGTGCATTGTCAATGAGCAGTAGTATTTTGAAAGGAATCTTTTTTTCTAAGCAGTAGGTCTCAACAGTGGTCTTACGATATTCAGTAAATCACGCTGAAAAGAGATATGCTGTCTTCAGGCTTTGTTGTTCTATTTGCAGAGCACAGACACGGTAGATTTAGCATAATTCTTAAGGGCTCTAGGATTTTCAAAATGGTAAATGAGCAGTGGCACTTAAAGTCACCAGCTGCATCAACCCCTATCAAGAGAGTCAGCCTGTCCTTGGAAGCTTTGAAGGCAGGCACTGACTTCCCTCTCCAGCAATTAAAGTCCTAGATGGCATCTTCTTCCAAAAGAAGTCTGTTAGGCAAGGCGTGATAGCTCACGCCTGTAATCCCAGCACTTTGGGAGGCCGAGACTGGTGGATCACGAGGTCAGGAGATCAAGACCATCCTGGCTAACACAGTGAAACCCCATCTCTACTAAAAATACAAAAAATTAGCCGGGCTTGGTGGTGGGCGCCTGTAATCCCAGCTACTCAGGAGGCTGAGGCAGGAGAATGGCATGATCCCAGCAGGTGGAGCTTGCAGGGAGCCGAGATCACACCACTGCACTCCAGCCTGGGCAACAGAGCGAGACTCCATCTCAAAAAAAAAAAAAAAAAAAAAAAAGTAGGCTGTTATATCTACACTGAAAATCTGTCATTTACTATAGCCACCTTCAACAATGATTTTTACCTAGATCTTCTGGATAATTTGCTACAGCTTCTACATCAGCACTTGCTGCTTCACCTTGTACTTCTATGTTATGGAGATGGCTGTTTTCCTTAAATCTCTTGAACCAACGTCTGTTAGCTTCAAACTTTTCTTCTGCAGCTTCCTCACCTCTCTGAGCCTTCACAGAATTTAGGAGAGTTAGGGTCTTGTTCTGGATAAGACTTTGGCTTAAGGGAATGTTGTGGCTGGTATATATCCAGACTACTAAACTTTCTCCATATCAGCAATAAGCGATTTTGCCTTCTTATCATTCGTGTCTTCACTGGAGTAGCACTTTTAATTTCGTTCAAGAACTTTTCCTTTGCATTCACACCTTGGCTAAAAGATCTCAGTGACATTCTTCTGAGCACACAGAGATATGAAGTGAGCACATGGTAGTGGAAAAGTGGCATCAAGAGACTTAATGCAGGGTTGCCACAAACTTTCAATTTGTTAAAAAAAATGCAACTTCTATAAAGTGCAATAAAGCAAAGTACAATAAAAGTATGCCTGTATATACAATTTTGTTACAGAAAAGTACTACAGGCAGATTAGTCAGAATTTCAAGCACGGAAATAGATTATAAGGATAAAACTATGTGTGTGATATGAAGTTTAAGTAGAAGTTCACAAAAAAAGGTAATGAATGAAATTTCTGGTATTGAATAAAAAGCTTACTTATATATTTTTAAATCAATATTTAAGTAACAAATCACTATGACATTTAGATTCCACCGGTTACATTTTAAAAAGTGATAAAACAGTTCTGAAGTAATCATTTTTATAATACTCTAGAATTTACTCTCTTTTTTAAAACTTTATTTAATTATTTTTGAGACAGAGTCTCTGCTTTGTTGCCCAGGCTGGAGTGGAATGGTACAATCATAGCTCACTGCAGCTTCAAAATCCTCAGGCTCACATGATCCTCTCACCTCAGCCTCCCAAGAAGCTAGGACAACAGCTGCATACCAACACGCCTGGCTAATTTTTTATAGAGACAAGGTCTCGCTATATTGCGCAGACTGGTCGCAAACTCATGGCCTCGAATAAGCCTCCTGCCTCAGCCTTCCAAAGTGTTAGGATTATAGGTTTGAGCCACTGCACCTGGCCAAAATTGTATTCTTTACAATCACTTAAAGTTATGACGAAAAAATTTTAATGCAAACTTAAAAATATGCACGGATCATCACTTTTCAAAATTTTCATATGAGTTATACAAGCAAAAAGCTTTAAAGAGTACTGCTGTAGAAATTGTGTGGACCAGTCCTCTACCTATGACTAGGCATTGGAAGTGTAAGGTCTTAACCTATCAATTAAGTAGGTGCAAGGATGCCAAGAACATCTCAGAATCATATAACATATGCTCCATTACTTTACCAGGCTAAGAGGAAATCTGAAATCATTTTAAAAGGCTCTAGGTCTTCTTAACCCAACTAAGAACTGCAGGCATTATGCAAATCATGCCGTCTTAAGCTGAAGCAATGAAAATAACTTAGAAAACATTTTTTAGTATAGAAAAAAACAAGTGATATTCCACTTTCAGGAACACATGGATCGACATATCTCAATGACATTACTCTGAGCCAACAGGAGACAGTCTCTACACACCTAGTGTAAGACCTTAGGATTTGGCTATCACTGAACAAAGGACATGGCTAGAAGAGGTAATCAGCAGAAAAACACAAATAGATGTATCAGGATGAAATGTTATTTCCACAGTTGACAACAATATAATCCCACTGAAAGCTGCACTAGAGATCACCGTCAAGATAACTTCTAGCTTAAAAAATCAGTAATTGGGCCAGGGGCGGTGGCTCACACCTGTAATCCCAGTACTTCGGGAGGCCGAGGTGGGTGATCACGAGGTCAGGAGTTTGAGACCAGTCTGGCCAACATAGTGAAACCCTGTCTCTACTAAAAATACAAAAAATTAGCAGGGTGTGGTAGTGTGCACCTATAATCCCAGCTACTAGGGAGGCTGAGGCAGGAGAATCATGTGAGCCCAGGAGGTGGAGGTTGCAGTGAGTCAAGATCATGCCATTGCACTCCAGCCTGGGTGACAGTGCGAGACTTTGTCTCAAAAAAACAAAATGAAAAAAAAAAAAAAAAAAAACCAGTAATTGGCCAGGCACAATGGCTCACATCTGTAATCCCGACACTTTAAGAAGCTGAGGCAGGAGGATCACTGGAGCCCAGGAGTTTGAGACCGGCCTGGAAAACATAGTGAGACCTTGTCTCTACAAAAACAAACAAACAAAAATAGCCAGGTATGGTGGCGCATG
This sequence comes from Homo sapiens, assembly GCF_000001405.40. Taxonomy (NCBI): domain Eukaryota; kingdom Metazoa; phylum Chordata; class Mammalia; order Primates; family Hominidae; genus Homo; species Homo sapiens. The sequence continues at coordinate 176,173,514 of NC_000001.11, forward strand.
TCTGTAGCCCCAGCTACTTGGGAGGCTGAGGTGGGAAGATCACCTGAACCAGGGAGATCAAGGCTGCAGTGAGCCATGATCGCACTACTGCACTCCAGCGGGTAACAGAGTGGGGCGCTGTCTCAAAAAAAAAAAAAAATCAGTAAATGTGACTTCACTGTTCATTAGATACATATATTTGAGAATATCTAAGGCCAGGCGCAATGACTCACACCTGTAGTCCCAGCACTTTGGGAGGCTGAGGCGGGAGGATCGCTTGAGTCCAGGAGTTCGAGACCAGCCTATCCAACATGGTGAAACCCCGTCTCTACTAAAAACACAAAAATTAGCCGGGTACAGTGGCGCACGTCTGTGATTCCAGCAACCAGAGAGACTGCGGCAGGAGAATCCTTGAACCTGGGAGGCGGAGGCTGCAGTGAGCCGAGATCGTGCCACTGCACTCTAGCCTGGGCAACAGAGTGAGATGCTGTCTCAAAAAAAAAAAAAAAAAAAAAAGAGAATATATATAATGTAGGGGATCACTTTCCAGCTTAAGTGGCAGTATATTTTTATATTCCTTCCATACTCATATATAACTCTCTCTCACTATTTAGAAACTCACAAAACAGAATTTCAAACTTGTGAACTAAGGAATGTTGCCTGAAAAATCTAGTAAACACCAAAATCTTCAGAACATCACATTCCTTTATATATTTAACCACTCCAAAAGAGTAAGTAGTTTTCCAAAGTTATGACTACAGAAAAAGCATAGTCATCTTTAGTGATCCTAGATTCCACAGGGCAGCATCAATCCAAATTTACAAGCACAGGGACAAAGGATTTTGCCCTACAGGATGTGGTTTCCCTATTATCTAAACTAGGCCATCAAGTATCATCCTGCAAGGTACCATGCCACTCAATATTTCTCTTTGTTCTTTTCCTAAGTTCCTTCTCCAAGTTTGCCATAAAACTTTAGCCACTTAGAAGAATTTGTCATTCTAGCAGAAAATCTTCAATTCCTTTAAGCACCCCTTTCTGCTATGTAATCCTCCAGCGATTTTCCTTCATAAAAAAAAAATTACAGTGAAGAGTAACAGAGAAAAAACTATTGTAGCTAAGGCACTTTTAGAGCAGATAAAAAGGAAAACCATAGCTGAATACGTTCAAATTCATAATTTATTTTAAACAACAATTTGAGCTAAAAATCAAACTGCCACCAAAGTACTAGCAGGTCAGAATCTAATACAAAAGTAGTCACCACACCCTAACTCTGAGCATATTAGTCTTTAAAATGCAGAATTGACCTTTTTGATATATAATCCCAAGAGTGCCCTACTTCATGCCTACTCATACCTGAAAATTATTCTTTAGCTTATTATTCATTCCCAAAACATTCAGATTAAAGGTTTCCTAAAATATCTTAGGGTAGTTAACATGCAGAATTTTTCTGATATTCACAGTTGGTTCTGACTAGTTATTATTTCCGATCATTTATCATTTATACTTAAGGATTCCCTATTCATGTCTCTCTTCTCTAGTTCTTACCACTCCTCTCTCAAAAGTTCTCCTCCATGTATTCCTTCCCAAGTTCTTAATTTTTAATTGCCTCCCTAGTTCAGATTCTCTTCACCCATTCACTCCCAACTCAGCAAGCATCACACCCAAGTTTTTTTGTCCCCTTGCCCTCAATATTCAACAAACCTGAGTTCCCGAGACCCATGGACTCTTTCTCACTTCTGCCGCAAAAGCAGAAACAGTAGGGATGTATAACACTTCACAGGGATACCTAAAGGTGTTCAGAACTGCTGCCATTTTTGTTAAACCTCACATCCAGTCTGTCATCTACATCAGCAGTCCCCAACCTTTTTGGGACCAGGGACTGGTTTCATAGAGAACAATTCTTCCAGACTGAAGGGAGGTGGAAGGGATGGTTTCAGGATGAAACTGTTCCACCTCAGATTATCAGGCATCAGATTCTCATAAGGAGCGTGCAACTTAGATCCCTTGCATGTGCAGTTCACAATCAGGTTCATACTCCTCTGAGAATCTAATGCCACCCACTGATCTGACAGGAGACAGAGCACAGGCAGTAGTGCTCGCTCACCTGCCAGCCCCTCACCTCCTGCTGTGCAGCCCAGTTCCTAATAGGCCACAGACTGGTACCAGTCCATGGCCCAGGGGTCCCTGATATACACAATAATCTAAAAGTTTTATGAATTTTTTAATAAAACTTAAAAATAATAAAATACTAACAATGTATAGAATCTATGTCACAACCCAAGAAGAGGAAAGCACTGTGGTATACAGTAGAGAGAGACTTGCTTACCACTAAGGTAGGTTTTCTGAATAAATTAGCGCTAGCACACAATTTTGGGGATCGAAATATTTTTAAAATAAAAATCATTCCAAAGACTCACCCAAGAAATTAGGATACAGATGGTCAATATTGTCCACAACATAGTTACACTTGGGACATCTATTATTGTCCTCCAAACTCTGATGAATACACTTGTAGCTATTAGTAGGGGGGGAAAAAAAAGGCTTAATTAAATCAATGAAAAATTAATAAACTGGTCACAAAATAATGACTATTAGTCTTCTATTCCTCATTTTCAACATAACTAATCTAATAAATTTATTTTTGCTTATATTTTTACATTATCAACAGGATATACAGGGCACTTACTGGGTAAACACTACACAAAAGTTATTTCAAACCAAACTCAAACATCAAGGACACTGTATACAAATTTAACAAGCTGTACTCCCTAAATTTTAAGTTTATGCAATTTAGATAGTTCATAACAACACCAGAAAAGCTAATGCCTACAGCTCAGTTAAGCAAACAGACTATTCATATTATTGGCCTGCGAATACCCTTAATACTCAGTTCATTGAAATAAAAAAGAGAAACAGAAAACTCAACGAAAGACAAAAATTAGTCAATAAACATGAGAAAACCATCATCTTCACGAGTCACAAAAAGCTGATTTAAAATTATATACTAGATTTTACCAATTAGGATGGAAAAATAAAATACTGCCAGTAAGGCACAACGGCTCATGCCTGTAATCCCAACACTTTAGGAGGCAGAGGCAGGAAGATCACTTGAGGCCAAGAGTTCAAGACCAGCCTGGGGAACATAGCAAGACTCCATTACTACAGAAAATGAAAAAATTAGCCAGGCATGATAGCATATGCAGCTACTGGGAGGGTGAGGCAGGAGGATCACCTGAGCCCAGGAGTTCAGGGCTACAGTGAGCCATGATTATGCCAGTGCACTCCAGCCTGAGTGACGGAATGAGACCCTGTCTGAAAAAAAGAGAAAAAAAAGACAAAAGAAAATAATGTCATAGTTAAAGAGTATATGTGGATATGAACAATCTCAACTACTGTTACAGAAAATGTTAACCAGCACAACTTTCCTAGAAGGCAAGTTGCAGGAAAAACCTTAAGGTTTTTACATACCCTTTTGAATATTTTACTTCTAGGAATTTATCCTAAGGAAATATATATTTAGAAGGGTGTTTAATACAAGGTTATCTGTAAATAGCAAAATAAAACAGAAGCAACCTAAACACTAAGAAATTGACTAAATAAATTTGTAAACATCAATCCAATGCAATGCTATACAGCCATCCAATACAAATTATTGTAATTTGTATGCCATAAAAATAAACTACTCATAGTTATTGCTAGAGAACTGTGATTACAGAAAATTTTCCCTTTCTTACATTATATATTTCTATAATGTTAAACCTTTTACATTTGTGTGCCTCCCTATTAAAAAAAACACTCCTTAAGTATTTTTCACCAAATCATGGAAAAGTGTCAAACTGGTATGAGAAAAAAATATTAAAAAAAAAAAAGAAAAAAGAAAAAAATGTTATTATACATACTGCTGAATAAAAATGACAATCTATAACACAGTGGATATAATATAATCCCACTTCTCTTAAAAAATCATATATGTGTACATTTAAAATAAACCACAAAAGACAATCCCCACAATGTTAACAGTATTTGTTTCTGGGTCATATAATTATGGGAAATGTTTTCTTTGTAGATGTCTTTAATTCAGGTTTCTATAATAGTAAGTATTACTGGTAACACTCAGGAAAAAAATGATTTCTAAGAAATTACAAAGGTGATCTGTAAAAATCATTCCCACAGAGAAAGTACCTCTTTTATTACGTATCCAAATTACTATAAATTTACTTGAGCTTTGTAAACTGAGTTGATTTTTATATCCACTTACCTTCCCCCTCCACCTTAACAAAATACAAAATAAAACAAACAAAAAAATAAAAACCTACATTCCCCAGGTTTCGCCCTTCTGGTTATCAACTACTTTCACATCTCACATTTGTTACTTTCAAGATAAGTAAAAAGGAGGAAGGTGTGAAGAATCAAAGTAACAGTGGTCTTTGGCAAATCACAGGGACCTAAAGACTGAAGTAAATGCCAGGCACATAACGGATATGCAAATATCTACTGAAAAATGACCTGCACAATGTTCCAAAAACAGTATCATCACCTCTTGCAACTCTGACAAGGCTAGGATTACCATAATCACAAAATATGCTTCATGTATGACTGAAAATTTCCTACATGGAAATTTCACTGAAGGAAATAACATACTAAATCTTTATTTTCATTTTTATTACAAGGAAGAAGCATAACGTAGGCAAGCAAATACAATAGACTAAGAATCACAACATGAAGAAATTTACAGTCTGCTTAGGGAAAAAGGAAATGAGTTAACATTACCAGGAAATATACATACAAAATTTAACTCTTTTTTTAAATCAGCAGCCTGGGCAACATGGCAAAACTCTGTCTCTACAAAAAAAAAAAAATAATAATAATAAATGCAAAAATTAGCTGGGCCTGGTTCTGCATGGCTTATGGTTGTAGCTAATCAGGAGGCTGAGGTTGCAGTGGGCAGAGATTGCATCACTACACTCCAGCCTGAGGGACACAGCGAGACTCTGTCTCAAAAAAACAAAAAATCAGCAAGTTCAAACAAAGCAAGTCATAAAGGAGAGACTCTGAAAGGTTATTAAAGATAAGAGATGGCCGGGAGCAGTGGCTCACACCTGTAATTCCAGCACTATGGGAGGCCAAGGCCGGCAGATCACCTGAGGTCAGGAGTTCGAGACCAGCCTGCCCAACATGGCAAAACCCCGTCTCTACTAAACATACAAAAAATTAGCTGGGCATGGTGGCAGGCACCTGTAATTCCGGCTACTCGGGAGGCTGAGGCAGGAGAATCGCTTGAACCCGGGAGGTGGAGCTTGCAGTGAACCAAGATCACACCACTGCACTCCAGCCTGGGCAACAAGAGCAAAACTCCGTCCCCACCCCACTCCATCCCAAAAAAAGGTAAGAGACATGCCGGGCTGGGTATATCTGCTAATGCCAGTCATCCTAGCACTTTGGCAGGCCAAGGTGGGCAGATCACTTGAGGTCAGGAGAATTTTTTTTTTTTAGTTTTTTTTTTTAAAAAAAGACAAGGCCGGGTGCAGCGGCTCACGCCGTAATCCCAGCACTTTGGGAGGCCACGGTGGGTGGATCACTTGAGGTCATGAGTTTGAGACCAGCCTGGGCAACATGGTGAAACCCCCATCTCTACTAAAAATACAAGAATTAGCGGGCATATTGGTGCACACCTATAGTCCTAGCTACTCAGTAGGCCGAGGCAGGAAAATTGCTTGACCCTGGGGGGCAGAGGTTGCAGTGAGCCAAGATCACGCCATTGCACTCCAGCCTGGGCGACAAAGTGAGACTCCGTCTCAAAAAAAAAAAAAATTACATAATAAAGATAAGAGATGGGTTGACAGATAAGTAGAAGGAGAACATTATGGGTTTTAGCAAATAACTTTTCTTTAAAATAAATGATAGAAAATGTGCATATGACAAGAACAAGCTAGGCTGTTAAGTCAGAGAGGAGTTTGTTAGGCTGGGTGCAGTGGCTCGTGCCTGTAATCTCAGCAATTTGCGAGGGCGAGGCAGGAGGATTGCCTGAGCCCAGGAGTTTCAACCAGCTCAGGCAATGTGGTGAAACCCCAACTCTAAAAAAATTTTAAAAATTAGCCATGCATGGTGGCAGTCTGTCCCTGTGATCCTAGCTACTCAGGAGGCTGAAGCAGGAGGATTGCTTGAGCCCAGGAGATCGAGGGTGCAGTGAGCCATGTTTGCACCACTGCACTCCAGCCTGGTGAGAGAGTGACACCCAGTCTCAAAAACAGAAAAAAAATTTTTTGTCAATATACAAGAAATTATTCCAAAATCTAGTAGAAAATCCTCTTTTCTTTAGTATCCTAATCTTATTCCACATCAATAGGCTTACTACACTATCTCTCAGACAAAAAAAAAAAAAATGGGACATAGCTGGAAGTAACTGTCCTCACTAACACTAGTTCAAGTGATTTTTCTGCATTGCACTTGATAAAATCCATTATATTGTAAAATCAAAGTATATCAAATTACATACCACTGTATACAACTTAAGTGACAACAGGATGCATCGAGCGTATCTTAGAGCATCTACTACTTCACTACCACCCCAAAAGAGACCTGCCTTAGTTTGAGAAATAGTTACTATCTTATCTTGTACTTATTTCTGTATGTGCCAATCAGCCCTTCTTCTATTTGGTCATTAAATGCAAGGATTTGTTTTACCCTCTGTACCCTTAATGTTTAGCACAATATCCTGTTAAAAGAATTCAAACTCAGTAAATGTTGAATGCATGAATGAGTAGATACAGCCAGGAAAGCAACATACGCCTGTCTGCTGCCTTCTGGATCATATAAAACAAACTACAAATTTTCAGTATTTCTTACCCCAGTAACTCTAATTCATTCTCATTCATCTAATCTACTTGACCATTACCAGCCTGCATACAAAGCTTTGGATACTAAGAGAAGGATAAGTATCTAGATTAGTGCTCAACAACAGGTGGGCATAACAAAGAGGTAAAAGGGACACATATCTCGGGTCCACCTGAGAAATTTTCAAGCTACTCACACTGCAACTCTTAAAAATAATTATTTTAATTCTGCTGATATAAATGTGTACCTATTTCCTCTATTAAATATGTATCTGCTAATAAAAAATGTGTATTTCTCTATAGATGTATATGGTTGTTTCTTCTACTATGTATATACTTGCTAACAAATATAAATATCTTTTTATATCTATGTAAACAAGGATGAGTAGATATAAACAACTGTAAGTAATCAGAAAATTCTAGAAAAAAGAATAAACTATAACAAGAACAGCCAGGACAAATCAGAACCAGTCATTACATCTAATAACCAGGTGTAAAGAAAGACCAAAAGTATGGTGCAAGATGATGGATTAGCCAAGAGTCTCAAAAGGCAATTTGACACTCAGGCTTGATCACCCACATGCTGGGAGATGACGATGCTGAAGGACCCCATTAATTGTAACTAACTTGTAATGAAGCGAAATAGTAAATCAGGGCTTGGTAGACATACGGTACAGGGCACAAGCTGGAGGCAGCAAATGGGCAAAGACAAAGAGCCAATTTTATCTCTACGTTATGTAAAAGTCAGATTTCTTATTATATCATTGTATTTCAGTTAGGCTACAGATACAGGTAACAGTGGGTTCTCAAGTGGGAATAAATAAAGTGAAAGAAGTTCCTGCTATATTGTCTCCAAATTGTTACTAGGAAAGACATTTTCACTTGGGATGAGGGAAAAACAGCTGATGTGGTCCAATTTGATTTAGTGGTAATAATTTGGATGAGCTTTGAAGTGGTATACTGCTTGAATCCAGCTTACCAGCCAGAATTTACGTTACTAGAAAGTTGACACAAGAGGCTACGGTTAATGACTGAAGTTCCATAGCCCTCACATGTTAGGAAAGAGTAAATAATTATAAACTTTTGCTTTAAACAAAACTGCAAAAAAAAAAAAAATCAGTATAGCAAGCCTGATGTTGGAATTGACAGCCTCCAGTTTTAATAGTTCCTGCCAACATTATGGCCTCTATTCTACTAAAACCTGCTCTCCAGTGGGTATCTTAAAACACATTCTTGGCTGGGCGCAGTGGCTCACGCTTGTAATCCCAGCACTTTGGGAGGCCGAGGCGGGCGGATCACAAGGTCACGAGATCGAGACCATCCTGGCTAACATGGTGAACCCCGTCTCTACTAAAAGTACAAAAAATTAGCCGGGCGTGGTGGCACACGCCTGTAATCCCAGCTACTCGGGAGGCTGAGGCAGGAGAATCGCTGGAATATCCGGGAGGTGGAGGTTGCAGTGAGCGGAGATCGAGCCACTGCACTCCAGCCTGGTGACAGAGCGAGACTCCATCTCAAAAAAAAAAACCAAACAAATAAACAAAAAAACACACGTTCTCATCAGGGTATAACATAAAAATGAAATTGTATTATAATAAGGATCTAAGCCTAAATTGTTTTGAGAGCAGGAGGTAAAGCTATTTAAGAAAGCAATGGGGCTTTCCAACAATGACCTAAAGACAACATGAAGATTATAAATTTATTGAAAAGCCCTAGCCTGTCCATTTATAAGTTCAATCAGTAATTTATTCCACTTCACAACATAGTGAAAAAAGGTCACTGAACTGATGCAGGGCCTTTTTTAAAAAATGCCACAATGGATATGTAAGTTACAGGACACTCAAGAAAATTAAAAACCTCACTTCACAATCTATTTCGTATTTCAACACTTTTAAATCCATAAAAAGAGGAGGAATTGAAGGAGTAAAAAGAGAATGAGGAAGAAGAGGAACAGGACAGCAGCAGCAGAGAGTGAGTAACTTGACAAAGGTTAGGTAAGTTTCAGAACCAGAAGTAGAATCCTGGTCTAACAATATCAAGAACTTGTTCTTTTAGCGCTAGATGAGTACTTCTCAAGGGAGGAAAATTTTGTCCCCCAAGGGGTATCTGCAATGTCTAGAGACATTTTTGGTTGTCACAACCCCAGAGATGGGCAGGGGTGGTACTGGGTAGGGGTCAAGTATACTGCTAAACAATCTATAAAGCACAGTGCAGTCACCTACGACAAAGAATTATCTGGTCTAATATGTCAATAGTGACAAGGTTGAGAAAGCCTACTCTAGATCACCTAATTTTCCAGAATAATCATAATCCAAAATCTCTGAAAAAAACATATGGTTTCCTATGGAATGCTAAGATGCTAGGTCAATTTATGGACCAAAGAGAACACTACTGCCGAACAATGGCCTGAAAAGGCCAAGACCATACCTGTATCAGCCCTGAAGCAAGACCCACATGTCCAGAATGTCATTGGCAATACAGAGCAGAAAGTGATTCGTGAATCATAATAATGTCAATGATATACCAGAAAATAAAAAGTATTCAAGAAAGTAAAATGACTTAAAAAAATAGTAAAAGGATTCTGAAAGAATACCTAATCATTCCTTTTCCTCTGATAACCTCTGAGGAGGTAGGTAAGAAAAACTAGATAAAGGTGGACATTTGTATTTTATATTACATCTTCCTGTACAATGACTGGTTTTTAAAAGCAATAATATACATTGCTGTTATCATTTTAATACTTTATTTTATAAGAAAGAATATAGATAATACAAGCTAAGAAAGTGATTTTTATTTAAAGCTTTTTAAGTGACTAGCAGAGGGAATACACCTATCACTAAAGCATCATGCTCCAGATGAAACGAAAGATCTTACAGACTAGTGTTAATACCCCATACTCTTCATGATGAAGGGATATAAATCTGCCCGATATCATATCCAACTTCAGCATAAAATTACGGGCCTGATTTCAATATGAATTAGAATATAAGGAGTATTAGAACACAAGGTATACTAAGGCTAAAATAATATGCCAACAGAATAGGTTTAAAAATAAGCAAAAATAATTAAAAATACACAGATTACACATCCATCAGGATGGCTACTATCAAAAACCAACAACAGAAAATAAGAGTTGGCAAGGATGTGGAAAAATTGGAACTCTTATGCACTGTTGGTGAGAACATAAAATAGTGCAGCCCCTATAGAAAACAGTATGGCAGTTTCTCAAAAAATTACAAACAAAATTACCACATGATCCAGCAATTCCACTTCTGAGTATACACCCAAAAGACTTGAAAGCAGAGTCCTAAAGAGATGTTTGTACACCCATGTTCACAGCAGCATTATTCATAGCAGCCAAAAGGTAGAAGAAGCAACCCCAGTGTATACTGATAGATGAATAAACAAAATGTAGTATATATATACAATGGAGTATTATTCAGCCTTACAAAGCAAAGAAATTCTGACACATGCTACAACACTGAAGACATTATGCTAAGTGAAATAAGCGAGTCACAAAAAGACAAATACTTCTACTTATTCGAGGTATCTAGAATAGTTAAATTAATAGAAACAGAAAGTAGAATGGTGGCTGCCAGGGGATACAGGGAAGGGGAAATGGGGAATTGTTGTTTAATGAGTGACGAGTTTCAGTTTTGCACAAAAAGTTCTAGAGATCAATTGTACAATAATATGAACATACTTAACACTACTGCACTGTTTACATAACTGTGGTTAAAATTATAAATTCCTCCAAGACTAAAGAACCAGAAAAAAATATATAAAATATATAAATTCGGTATTATGTAAATTTTAAAATTAAAAAATTTTTTTGATGTATGAGTTAACCTGGCATGATATAATGTAAAGTTAATATTGAGCAAAGTGTTAAAGAAAAGAACACAGAACTTTTTAATCCTGTATTCTTTTTCCATGACCTTCTTAGCCTGCTTCACTGCGTTCTCCAACCTATCCCCACAAGTGAGTAATTAGTGCTTCATGGTTGGTCCTGATTGTCCAGCATCACTAAGAACAGGAGTGAAAAGTTCCTATTAACAATTAATAAACGCAGAAGTTTTCAAATCCATCAGTAAGGCCTATTCTAAATCTAAACATTTGACAGAAATTATGCGCCAGCCATTATGTTAACAGCCTTAAACTGCCACATCTACAAAGACATGTCAAGAAAAAAAATATGACTGTAACATAATCAAAGTTGGTTTAAAACACGTAACTTCTCATTGGCTACATTTACAGATAAGTTTTAAAATGTTAAAAGATTATTTTACTCAATAGAATTGTCTTACCAAAAGCTGTGGCCACATTTTGTCATGTATGCTTCTTCAATCATATCAAAGCAGATGGGGCTAAAAAGAAAAGAAAAATAATTGATTTTTTTTTAAAAGTAGAGTGATTACAAATTGGAAAAGACTAGTAACAATACCAATGAAATCATATTTCAATATACAGTTTAGAGCTAAGTCTATAAACATTCTATCAATAAGAGATGAAATTTCTATTGAACTAAACTTTAGGGGATTGTTGGTAAAATGATGATTTGTTCAGGATGACCCTAAGGGTCACTGAGCTTCAAAATGAAGTCAATGAGTAAATCAAAATGGTTCCAATATTTTAACTCGGCACATAATTTTTAGTAGTACAATGCAGTCACCAGAGCCCTTTTAAGAAAGCTCTACCATCGTTTTCCATCACATGTACTCAAAAGCGTGTACCGAGACCTGCTAAATACTCTTTTCTTCCTATCCCAAATAAAGCTAATTCCTTGAGTGATAAATTTATTATTCTAGTTTCGACAATGCTTGTAGGTAATGACAACAATCATAACAACTTATTAGCTATTTAAATAAAACAAACTATACACATTAAACCCACAATATATATTGACTCATTTAATAGTTTCAACAACAAAGTGAAATAGGTACCAACTACTAGGCACAGTTTATAGATGAGGGAACAGAAGCAGAGAGCTGTTAAAGTCACACAGCTAAGAAGTAACAAAGTCAAAATTCAAATTCAGGTCTACGTTCTTAACCACTTGTCCTACACTACTTTCTGGTACTTTAAATACCAATTGTAATCCTCTTCTGCCCTCTTTCCCTATAAAGAATAAAAAACAGAATACTCAAAATCCCAGCCTTTTTTGTACTTAGGATTGGCTATATGATATTATTCTGGCCAGTGAAATATAGACATCAGTTTCTAAGGGGCCACCATCTATGAGAACAAAAATGCAAAACCTTGTAAAAAGACATTTCCTTTTATCCTTCCCTTTTCTTCCTTACTAAAATTCTGATGCAGTGTTCAGAGATACAACAGCCATCTTCTGACCATGAAGACAAAAACCTTAAGCTAGGAAGAAAGGAGGATACTGGTTCCTGGATGAAATCCTTGAGCAGCTGCATCAGCTTTGGATTGTCTCCGCTGGACTTCACATTACATGAGAAGGTAAATCTTGACTTGCTTAAGTCAATGTTTATCAAGTTTTCTCTTATTTGCATACAAATCCAAATCCTTACGGATGATACAATGACACTTAAAACTGTAACTGAAAATACACTCACTCCTTCAAGAAAAATTTCTTGGGCATAAACACTATCCCTTAGAATACAGGAATGTAAAGTCTAATGGCAGACTCAAATATGTATAGATGATATTACAACACAATGTGAAAATATATACAATATATACAATAATGATAAATACATAATAATAAGAGGACACACCAGCTACAAAGGGACCCATAGTAAAGAAAACTGAGATTTGGGGGTCAGAGCAGGAGGAACGGCAAAAGAACCAACCAATCAATTCACTGAATATGTCAGGAGCTATTTAATAGAAAACAATACATACCTAATCGTTAGCATTTTGAGAAAGGGGTATTTTAGTGTTTGAGGATCCTTCAAGTATGTCACTGCTAAGACACAGAACACCTCTATGCAAATTTTTTAAAAAGGCACTCTCACAGCTTGAGCAATATACTGAGACCTCATCTCTACAAAAAAAAAATTAAAAAAAAAAACACAAAAACTAGCAAGCATAGGGGCACACACCTGCAGCCCCAGCTACTCTAGCTAGTCCCAGCTCCTCAAGAAGCTGAGGAAGAATGATCACTTGAGCACAGCAGGCGAAGCTGCAGTGAACAGAGACTGTGCCACTGCACTCCAGCCCAGGTGACAGAGCAAGACCCTATCTCAAAAAGAAAAGAGAAAAAAAAGGGCACCTCAAAGAACTAAGGAATGTGTTAAAGACTTCGGCTTTTAAGTTGAGTAAAACGGTAATTCACTGGTGGATTTGGAAAAGAGGAGTGATGGGATTTGACACAGTAATGAACCAGATCATTCTACCTGCTATGCTGAAAAGAAGACTAAAGGGAAGCCAAGTGTAGAAATGGTTACGGAAGCTATCATAATCCAGTGAGAAACAGTGTTGAAACGGACTAGGGTGGTAGTAGTTGGGTTGATGAGAAGTGGTGAGATTCTAGATATATTCTGAAGGTAGGACTATGGTTTGCTGATAGATGTTGGGTATGAGACAAAAATCAGTGAAGGTTTCTGGCCTGAAAACTGGAAGAAATGACTACAGGTTTACCTCGCACACAGCTCCATCATCCGTTAGTTTATTTAAAAAGAAAAAAGAAAAAGCAGGGGTACAGTACGTGTCATGTCACATAATGTGTTCTACTTATACTAAAAGTTACAGTACCTAAAAATTACTATCAAATCAGTTAAAGCCAATAGCTTTTAAGAAATGTATTCTGAATAACAAGAGAATCAAAGAAGGTCTCCATTCTTTTTTTGAGACAGTGTCTCACTCTGTCACCCAGGCTGGAGTGCACTGGCATGATCATGACTCACTGCAACTTCGACCTCTTGGGCTCGGGACATCTCTCCTGCCTCAGCCTCTCAAGTAGCTGGGACTACAGGTGCATATCACCACATGTAGCTCATATATATATACATACACACATATATACACACACATATACACATATATACACACATATATATACACATATATACACACTATATACACATATATATACACATATAAATATACGTGTGTGTGTGTGTGTGTGTGTGTGTGTATAAGACAGGATCTCCTTATGTTGCTCAGGCTGTTCTCAAACTCCTGGGCTGGAGCGATTCTCCCACTCTGGCCTCCCAAAGTGTTGGGATTATAGGCATGAGCCACTTATTCCTGGCTGAAATACTGGCTTTTTAATCACAGTTCTACCCCACAGCTTTCAAGAAAAGTGAAATTAATCCTAGCTATGCCATCTACAGCTTTGTGACTTTGAGCAAGTAGTTTAATCTTTCTAATTGTAATTCCTTATTTGTATAACAGGGATGACATTTATATCATAGAATCATTACACAGATTAACAAGATATCTATGAGGCGCTCAATACAATGCCTGGCACACAATATTCACTGAGTGGCAGAATACACCAAAAAGAGAAAATACGGGAAAATATACATTAGTAATAGGACTGGTGCTATGGTCTGATATTTGTGTTCTCCCAAATTTCATATGTTGAAATCTTAACCCCCAAGGTGGTGTTAAAACATGGGCCTTTGGGAGATTTTTAGGTCATGAGGGCAGAACTCTCATGAAAGGGATTAGTGCCCTTACAAAAGAGGTCTAAAGGAATTTTATCCCCTCTTCCCTCCATGAGATCAGGCAGATCCAGAGAGCAGGCACTGCCTGTGTATCAGGAATCTAGCCCTCACCAGACATAAAAACCTCCCCATGTTTGTGGAGGCTGAATTTCCCAGCCTCCACAAACATGAGAAATAAAGTTTTGTCGTTTTTAAGCTACCTATTTTATGGCATTTTGTTATAGCAGCCTGCACAGACTACAATACTTAGGAAGAGTACTATCCACCCAAGCCAAAAACTTTAAAGAATTCCTGTCAGAAATAGGTAGAATAGAATAAAGAAAGAAGGGCTGGCCAATTACTCCCCTTCCCAAGAAAGGGATGAAAAATCTCAGAAACTACAGAAATGAAGAGGAGATCCTAATGAAATACCATTAATTCTTTCCAATTTTGAAGAACAAGAATATACCAACAGTAGGTTAAGGGAAAAACGTATCCATTTAGAACCATCCATTTAGAAAAACAATCCATTCAGGACCTCTGTAACACTGTCAATCAAAAGCATTCAAGGAGAATGGGCAACCCTGTGCTGAGCGAGTCTGTTGGCAGCTCATTTTTTCAACACCATGTGCTCACTTCATATCTCTGTGTCACATTTTGGTAATTTTCACAATATTTCAAACTTTTTCATTATTATTATACCTGTATAATTATCTGCGATCAGTGATCTTTGATGTTACTACCGTAACTGTTTTGGGGAGCCACAAATTGCACCCATATTAGATGGCAAACCTCACTGTGTTCTTACTCCTCCACCAACCTGCTATTTCCCCCCTCTCTTCCTCTCCTCAGGCCACTGCATTCCAGCCTAAGTGACAAAACACATAGATACACACACACACACACACACACACAGACAGAGAACAAAGCATCCCAGAGTTGTGACATATGTGAAATGTTCTAACATACATGTAATTGAAGTCACAGATGACAGAGAAAGAGTTAGGAAAAAATATGTAGAGACAGTAACTGAAATCATTTTTAAAATAACAAAATACATCAAACCACAGATCTAAGAAACTCAGAAACCCCTAAATAGGGATTTCAAAAACAAGAAAATATCCCTAACACGTACAATGCACTTTAAACTGCTAAAACCAAAAATAAAAAGAAAACCTTAAAGGCAGCCCTAGAAAGACACATTACATGCAGAGGAATAAAGATAAAAACGGAAACAGACTTCTCATCAGAAACTATACTAGCCAAAAGACAATGGAGCAGGCACTGTCTAATTGAGAATTTTTTCTTTCAGTTCTTTTATTATTGTTACTGCATTTATTTCTTTCAGTCCATTTTGAAACATTAGATTATAATTGTCATTTGTTTTGGTCATATTTTTCTGGCTTGCTTTCATTGTTTCTAGGGACAGTATTATGTTTCTTTTTCCGTTGGGAATTCTTTGTTTCTCATTTTTTAGTGAGAAACAAAAATACTTCTTTAAAATACTAAGAGAAAAAACTTTCAACTCAGAATTTTATACTCAACAAAAATATCTTTCAAAATGAAAGCAAATAAACTCATTTTCAAACAAACACAAATTTAAGAGAATTTGCTGCCCACAGACCTGTACTACAAGATATATTAATGTAAATCCTGCAAGCAGAAGGAATATGAAGACAGACAGAAACTAGGATGTACACAAATAAAGAGCTCTAAAAATAGTAATGATGAACATAAATACAAAATACATTTATCTTTCATCACTAAAAAATGAGAAACAAAGGTTCCCAAAGGAAAAAGAAACATAATACTGTCCCTAGAAACAATGAAAGCAAGCCAGAAAAATATGACCAAAACAAACAACAATCATAATCTAATATTTCAAAATGGACTGAAAGAAATACAATAACAATAATTAAAAAACTGAAAGAAAAAATTCTCAATTAGAAAACTTTAGCAAACTTGTTCTGAAGAAAGAATTATTTTAAAAGGGAGGTTAAAAAAATCAAGAAAGAATTAGAATGAAAAAGAAAGGAACACAAGAGTAAATAAGCATAATGAATAATGATTTCAGATGGAAAAAAAAAGATGGTTATTATAGGCATCTGACTTTACAACTCCAACCACAGAACTTTAAATATAACAAAAAACTGAGTATCATTCAAACTACTGCAGGGTGAATATCCATCATCCAAAATGGTTGAGACCAGAAGTGTTTCAGATTCGGATCTGTCTGCATTTTGAAATATTTGCATTTATATTCTTACTGGTTCAGCATCCCTCATCTAAAAATTTAAAATCCAAAATGCCCCAATAAGTATTTTCTTTGCGTGTCATGGTGGCACTCAAAAAGGTTCAGATTTTGGAGCATTTCAAATTTCAGATTTTTGGATTAGGGACACTCAACCTGTATTAGTAGAGATTATTTTGAACTTTTACCTCTTGTCACTGTTTATTAAAATCGTGTTCTTCAAGCAATAAAATGCTGTGAAGAAGACATTTTTATACCAATTGCCAGAAGGACAGATATCATACTGCACAACCTTAAGCTTGCCAAAAGATAATGTATGTCACTTGGGACATTTAAAAAAAAAAAAAACAGTACAGAACAGATCCAGATACAGAAAATTATTTCACATATCTAATATGCATTTATAAGACATATCATCTCAGTTAATCAAGGGTCATATTGCAATCCGGCCCAAGTAACATCGTTAATCAGTGCTCTATTTGTCATTCCCTTTTATATGCATTATTTCCTTCAAAAGCAGCATCCAAACTTATTAAGTGAATTTAATAAGTACTTACAAAGTACTATCTTAGAACTGTCCAACAAACTAATATGTACATAGTTCAATACATGCATATTTTAGTACAAATGCTAACTCCATTATGCTTTCATAAAATGTGTCAACTGTCTTATAGTAGTACTGGTTCCAACTAAAAAAAAAATCAATCTTTCAAAGGTTAAATACTTAAAAATAATAATATTACTGAGATAATCAGAGCCAGGCACAATCTAGAGTCATTTAGAAAAACAAGCAGTAGTTACACCTCACATAAACAGGACTGCAGAAACACTTTCGTGTTTTGATACCAAATGCCAAACACTAGCAAATAACCACCTGATTCTTTGTGATTTTATAATTTATAATGCCTTTTTACATGCATTATATACTCTAAACCTCATAATCTTATAGAATATTACTACATCCCAATTTATACATGAAAAAACAGACTCGAAAACAATAAATTATTTGTCCAAAGTTAAATTTCAAGGTCTTAAATTCCAAGCCCAATGTTCTTTCTATCTTGCTATAATCTCAGAAGAGTAAAAAATAATAAAAATATGCATCATTGTGATTATGAAAATCAAAATCACAGCTATCAGCACATAGAAGACCTTGGAAAAATTATTTTAAATATACTCAAATTTATATACAACTTCAAGAATGAAAGACGCCCAGCAAAAGGGCCATGGAAATGTTTCTTCCTTCTTCACAAAATTTTCAAAACTTGAAATTTCTCTAGCTTCCTCTTTTCCCTTAATTTCTTAATTCTTCCTTTGCTTCCTTCAAAAGCAGCATCCAAATTCAACTGGCCCCAAGTATATTCAGGACTGAAAGAAAAAAAATGAGTAAAAAGGAAAAAAAAATAATAAACCTCAAACTCTTCTTTACACCTATACCGATAACACTAGATCCTCTGAACCAATCTTCACAGGCAGCAGTTAAGTTCCAGTCTATGTCCCATCATCTCACTCTTTCCCAGTTCCATTTGCTCTAATAAAAAGCCTTAAAAAACTTAAATCTCCATTTTTTCAAAAGCAGAGATTAAACTTATTTGGTATTTTGTGAAGTGATTCCTCCCTAATCTGTCTCCATCAAGACCTGTGTTTAACATTGCCTTAAGTCACAGGCTCTATGAATAAGGAGACGAGAGGTAAGGAAGAAAAGAATAGCATAGCGGCAATCATTTTAGACTGTAATTTAACAATAAAATATTTTTTAAATAAGGATTCTAAATAACTATGTGCTAGCTTCAGGGTCAGAAGTTCGAAAAGGATGAGACCACAATGGAGTAGGAAGGAAAGGACACCATGATTAATACAAGTAATAGCCATGAAAAGATAATGCAAGTGAACCAATTTCTGGTATCCATAACAGAAAAGCAAGATTGAATCAGGGAACTACATATGGCCAAGAAGTATCTCTGCTGATTCCTCTTACCCCAATACATTCTTGATCTCTTCCTGGATTTTATTCCATTCACACACTCCCAAGGCTCCTGCCCAAACACAGAATCAGTTCTAATTACCACCAAGGGTTTACAGTTAACAGAAGATTTAATTCGTCTTGTGTAGTTATAAGTTAGGTACAGGTGAAACAATTAGGAGAATCCTCTCATAGTAAACCACAAGTAACAACAGTACCAGGCCTCAAACACAGACACAGATCTTCACTAGTGCTCCACCATTAATGTGACTAATACTTTTCTGCTTCTCAAGACTACCCGCTTACAATATACAGCCCCTTCAGCACCAACACTACACCAAGAACTTTAGGCCAACTCAAGTGTTTCTCATTTTATTTCCAATTCCTAAAACACAAAATATAATTGGCCAAAATATCTTTCAAGCCAATTCCAGTAAGATGTAATTGCTATGCTTTGCTCACATTTCAGAAGAGTACCCAATCACAGGCCAATCAACTGGGGAAGATACCAAGTTCACACAGAAGAAAAACAAATGCCTACACAGGAGGAGCTATAAAAACAGGAATTTCTATTACAGTATAAGAAAATATGAACAGGGTACCATGTGTGATACATTTCATTAGATAGTATCCCCATCCCATTATTCAGGGGTGAAAGAAATCTCCAAAATGCATGGGAGATGTGTTCCTTGTATCCCTACTTTGATTTTTAAGATTAATTTTTTTAAAAAGTTGTTTCAGTAGTTAAGTTTTATTTCACAACTACAGTGCTGAATTTAAAATATAGTACCAATTAAACTAGTCTTCTATTCTTGAAACAAAAACCTAAACACTGTATATTGCATATACCACTACACAAAATGCATTCAAACAGTGAAAATATGGATGACAACTTTCCCTTAACTTCCCTTTGGCTACCAAGAAACATACTTCTGTCTGAAACAAGTTAATTATTAAAAATGAAAACACAACCTTTAAAGAGTAATAAATGAATGGCCAACAAGCTCTTGAAAAGATGGTTAACCTCACTAGTGAAAAGGGGAATGCAAATCAAAACCACAATGAATAACCACTTCACACCCATTAGGTTGGCTATTATCAAAAAGGAAAACAACGTGTTGACAAGATGTGGAGAAATTAGAACCCTTATACATTGCTAGTAGGAAAATAAAGTAATGCAGCTACTATGGAAAACTGTTTGGCAGTTACTCAGAAAGCAAAACACAATTACCATATCACCTAGCAATTACACTGTGAGTAAATGCCCCAGAGACTAGAAACATGTGTTAAAACAAAAACTCATACACAAATGTTCACGGGAACATTATTCATAATAGACAGAAAGTGGAAACAGCCCAAATTGTCCATCAACTGAAATATAAATTATATTAAAATGTTATTTTAAAATAACTTTAAATATTATGTTATTTAATAATATTCCCACATAATGGAATATTACTCAACCATAAAAAAGAATGAAGTGCTGATACATGTCACAACATGGATGAGCCTTAGAAACATGTTAAGTGAAAGACATGGGATACAAAAGACCATATATTATATGATTGCATTTATATGAAGTGTCTGGAATAGGTAAATTCACAGAGACAGAAAGTAAATTAGTGATTGTAAGGGAAGAGGAAAAGGAGAGTGCTTAACGGGTACAGAGTTTCTTTAGGGGCTGATAAAAATGTTCTGAAAATAGACAGTGGTGATGGTTGTGAAACACTGCCAACTGTACTAAAAACACAACTTTAAAACGGCGTATTTCAGGGTTGTGAGAATTTCACCTCATTTTTTTAAACAAAAGGAACAGAGAACTAACACTTTTGACAACAAGGGAGTAGCAGAATGGATCCTACAAATGGAAATACACTATTGCAAAATTTTTATATTGTATATGAAATATTTGAAGGTAGAACACAAAAAGTTTAAAAATCAGTATTGTAAACCTCAGAGCAACCACTTCCCCCCACCAAATACACACAATCATTAATAAGCAAATAGTGGAAATAAAATGGAAATCTTAAAAATATCCAATTAATCCCAAAAGCAAGAAAGGAAGAAAAAAAGAGAAAAGAAATAGAAGAGACAAATAGAAAACAAAGAGCAAACAAGACAGTACACACAAAACCAAGCACATCATAATTATGTTAAAATGTAAACAGTCCAGCTAATCCAACTAAAAGGCAGACTGTTGGCTGGGCGCAGTGGCTCACACCTCTAATCCCAGCACTTTGGGAGGCCGAGGCAGGCGGATCACAAAGTCAGGAGATCAAGACCATCCTGGCCAACATGGTGAAACCCCATCTCTACGAAAAATACAAAAATTAGCTGGGCATGGTGGCATGAGCCTATAATCCCAGCTACTAGGGAGGCTGAGGCAGGAGAATCACTCGAACCCAAGAGGAGGAAGTTGCAGTGAGCCAAGATAACACCACTGCACTCCAGCCTGGCGACAGAGCAAGACTCTGTCTCAAACAACAAAAACAACAAAGGCAGATTGTCATACTAAATAAAAAGGAAGACTGAACTATACTCTGGGTACAAGAAACCCACTTTAAATATTAAAACACGTACATAATAGACATGAAGAATAAAAACATACCATGTAAACACTTATGAAAAGAAAGCTAGGCCAGGTCAGTGGCTCATGCCTGTAATTCCAGCACTATGGGAGCCCAAGGCAGGAGAATCGCTTGAGCCCAGGAGTTTGAGATCAGCCTGAGCACCATGGCGAGACCCTGTCTCTACAAAATAAAATTAAAAAAAAAAAAAATCAACCAGATGTGGTGGCCCATGCCTGTGGTCTCAGCTTCTCAGGAGGCTGAGGTGGGAGGACCACTTGAGCTTGGGAGGTAGAGGCTGCAGTGAGCTGTGATCACGCCACTGCACTCCAGCCTGGGTGACAGAGTGAGACCCTGTCTCAAAGAAGAGAAGAGAAAAAGGAGAGGAGAGAAAGAGGGAGAGGAGAGAAAGAGGGAGAGGGAGAAGAGAGGGAAAGAGGAAGGGAGGGAGGGAGGGAAGGGAGGAAGGAAGCTGAAGAGGCTATATTAACATCAAAGTAGATTTCAGAACAAGGAATATTATCAGGAATAAAGAGTGACATTTCAAAATGATAAGGAGATCAATTCACCAACGCTAAATCTGTGTAAGCTTCAAAATACACGAAGCAAAAGCTGAGAAAACTAAAAGGAGACATAGCCAAATCTAGTTAGCACTGGAGATGATTGAAGAATATGTAACTGACAGTACAAGTATACAGAAAATGAATGGGAGTATACTGAACTTAAATAACACATCAACCAACTTTACTATTTGACATGTATAGAACCTCAGCCTACACATGGCAGAGTACTCATTTTTTTCAAGTGCATATGGACCATTAGCGAAGATAAAGCTTATGGTGGACCATGAAACGAGTCTCTATAAAAAGGACTAATATCATACAAACTATATTAACTGAACAAAGTTGAATTATGTCACAAATCAGACATAGAATGATACCCAGAAAATTCTCATTTAGAAATTAAACAACTGCAGCCATAAAAAAGAATGAAATCATGTCCTTTGTAGCAACACGGATGCAGCTGGAGTCCATTATCCTAAACGGATTAACACAAAAACAGAAAACCAAATACCACATGTTCTCACTTTTAAGTGGGAGCTACACACTGGGTACACACAGACACAAAGATGGGAACAAGAAACACTGAGGATTCCAAAATCGGGGACGGAGGGGGTTAGGAGCTGAAAAACTGCCTGTTGCGTACTATGTCCACTACTTGGGTGACAAGATCACTAGCATCACGCAATATACCCACGTAACAAACCTGTGCATGTACAGGTAAAATAAATTAAACAACATACTTCTGAATAATCCATGTTTCAAATAAGAAATCACAAGGGAAATGAGAAGTATTATGAACTGATTGAAAATTTGAAGATACAGCTAAAGTAGGGATTAGAAAGGGAAATTGATAAGATTAAGTGTTGCTATTGAAAAGAGGGCCAAAAATCAATGATCTAAGCTTTCGTACTAAGAAACCAGAAAAGAAAACATGAAACTCCAAGTTAGCAGAAGAAATTTATAAAGTAAACTGAAAATTAGTGGAATAGAAAATGAACAAACTATATAGAAAATCAATAATATGAAAGTTGATCATTTGAAAAGACTAAAAAAAATTAATAATCCTCTAGCTAAACCATTCAAGGAAAAAAGAAACACAAGAACACAAATTATCAATATCAGGAATGAAAGATGGGACACCATTAACAAATCCAAGACATTAAAAGAATAAGGGGTATATTATTATTATGCCAATAAATTCAGCAACACGGGTGTAATGGAGAAACTCTTAAACTACTAAAGTTCATGAAATATAGAACCTGAGTAGTGTCTATTAAAGAAATTGAATTAGTAATTAAAAACCTTCCCACAAAGGGAAGGAGTGAAATCATACAAAATATATGAAGACCCAAAACTATGGCTTCACCAGTAAGTTCCACCAACCACTTAAGGAAAAACACCAATTTCATACAAACTCTTTCAGAAAATAGAAGGGGAACATTCCATATCGTCTTTTAGAAGCCAGCACTGGCCAGGCACAGTGGTTCATGCCTATAATCCCAGCACTTTGAGAGGTCAAAGCACGGGAAGATCACTTGAGCCCAGGAGCTCAAGACCAGCCAGGGCAACACAGTGAGACTCCTGTCTCTACGCAAAAAAAAAAAAGAGAAAAAGAAAGAAGAAAGAGAAAGAAAGAAAGAGTGAAACCAGCAGGAGGGAGGGAGGGAGGGAAAGAAAAAGTGAAACCAGCAATAATACCTATGTTACGGGTTAAATTGTATTTCCATCCCTCGCAAAAGAAAATCCCTATATTCTAACTCCCAGTATCTCAGAATTTGCATTTGAAAATAAAGCCTTTAAAGAAATAATCAAGGTAAAATACAGTCATATTGGTGGACCCCAATCCAATACAACCAGTATTCTTCTAAGATACAGGCAACATGCAGACTGAGAGGTGACAAAGCTATGACACAACAACAAGTGGCCCAACCTAGGCAAGATGGCAAGACCCTCATCTCTATTAAAAACTTATAAAAATTATCCAGGTGTGGTGACACATGCCTGTAGAGCCAGCTACTAGGAAGATGAGGGAGGAGGATCCCTTGGGCCCAGAAGTTCGAGGATGCAGTAAGCAGTGTGATGGTGCCACTGTACTCCAGCTTGGGCGAGACAGCAAGACCACCTCTTTTGAAAAAAAGAAAGGAAACAGGCCTCAGAAGAAACCGAATCTGCCTACACATTGTTTTGTACTTCTAGTCTCTAGACCTATGAGAAAATAAATTTCTGTTGTTTAAGCCACCTAGTCTGTTGTATTTTGTTACGGCAGCCCAAGCAAACCAATACACTGTGATATGAAAACCAGAAAAAAATTAAAAGAAATTCACAGACCAGTATCACTCACTAATAAAGGTCCAAAAAATCCTTTTAAACAATTACCCAATCAAATAAATCCATTAACGTACGTTCTTTAAATAGGGCATATAAATTTAAAAGATGTAAAAGTATATTCATATACAGATAACATGACTGTTTTCTTACAAATCCTATAGGTTCTACCAAAAAATTATTAGAACTAGTAAGTAAACTTAAAATTTCATAAAATACAAGGTCAACATAAAAAAAGTGTATTTACATACTAGCAACAATTAGAAATCGAAATTAAAAGAACAACATTTAGAACACCATCAAAAACATAAAATACTTAGGGGTAAATTTTAAAAATATGGTGAAAAACCTCAACTGAAAAGCATAAACACTGCTAAGAGAAATTACAGAGGACCTAAATAATTGGAGAAATATACTATGTTCATGATTCAAAAGATAATATTAAGATGTCATCTTCCCAAATGAAATCACAGATTCAAAGTAACCAACATTAAAATCCTACATCCTTTTTTATAGAAATTGGCACGCTAATCCTAAGATTTATGTGGAAATGCAAAGAACATAAATAATCAAAACAACTTTGAAATAAAGGATAAAAATTACACTACCTGATTTCAAGATGTACTATAATAATACCATAATCAAAACAGTGTGGCACTTGTGTAGGGATAAACATATATACACCAACGGGACAGAATAAAAATTGCAGAAATAAACTCATATATATGGTTAATTTTTGAGAAAGGTGCCAAGAAAATTCAATGAACAGAGATGATCTTTTCAACAAATGATGTTATAATATTAATGAAGCCTTCAACCCTTACCAAACACAGTGTATAAAAACTAACTTGAAGTGGATCATAACCATAAGAAAACTATAAATCTTCTAGTAGAAAATATACAAGAGAATGTTTTCTAATTTCATGTTAGATAACTTCTTAGCTAGAACACAAAAATTAAAAATAATAAAAATCAATTTGGACTTAAAACTGAAAACTTTATCGATACATTAGAAAAAAGAAAAAACTTTTGCACTTTAAAAAATTATTAAGAAAATGAAAAGATAAGCAACAGACTAAGAGAAAATACCACAATACACAGGTCTGACAAAAGATGTATGCAGAATACATAAAGAACACTTACAACGCAAGATGACATGCAATTTTAAGGGAAAAAATGGGCCAAAGATCAAAACAGACATTTCACAAAAGATATGCAAATGAAAAATAAGCACATAAAAATATGTTACATAACAATGTGATAAAACTACATATCCACAAAAATGACTAATATTTAAAAGACTGAAAACACTGAGCACTGGCAAGGATGTGAAACAATTAAAAACAAATAAAACAATACAAGAAATAAATACAAACCAAATAAAAGAACTTTTAATTGTTGCTGGTAGAAATGCAAAATGGTGGCCGGGTGTGGTGGCTCACACCTGTAATCCCAGCACTTTGGGAGGCCGAGGCGTGGGGACCATGAGGTCCAGGGATCGAGACCAACCCGGCCAACACAGTGAAACCCCATCTCTACTAAAAATACAAAAAATTAGCTTGGCATGGTGGCGGGCGCCTGTAATCCTAGCTACTCGGGAGGTTAAGGCAGGAGAATTGCTTGAACCCAGGAGGCAGAGGTTGCACCAAGCTGAGATCGTGCCACTGCACTCCAGCTGGGGCGACAGTATGAGACTCCCATCTCAAAAAAAGATAAAAAAGAAATGCAAAATGGTAGAGGCAGTTTTTAAAAAGTTTTGCAGTTTATTTTAAAACTAAACATACACTTGGCAGAGAACTCAGCAATTCACTACTAGATATTTTTACCCTAAAAATGTGAAGACGTGTCTGCACAAAAACCTGAATGCTTACAGAATTTTCTAAATAATAGCCAAAAACTAGAAACAAGTCAAAAATCTTTTAACTAGCAAATATATAAGCAGTTCATGTTATATCCATATAATGGGATAATACTAAGCAATTAAAAGAAAAAAAACAGTACACTCAACATCATCAGTGTATTTCAAAACATTATACCAAACGAAAGAAACCAGACACAAAAGACTACCGACTAAAGGACTCCATTAATATGAAATTCCAGAAAAGGCAAAATGACAGCAATGCAAAGCAGATCACTGGTTGCCAGGTGTTAGGTGTGAAGGTAGACACAGAGTATGAAGTGCTGGCAAAAGTGAACTTTCTGGAAATGTATCATATCTTCATTAGGGTGGTGACTGCACAGGTGTATTCATGTGTCAAAACTCATTCAACTACACACTTATGACCAGTGACTTATTTTATGCAAATTATAACTTAGTAAAGCTAATTTTAAACAAAATCAGCCTCTAAATAAAGGCAAGGAAATGGGTGGTTAACTTGGGTAACCATTTGTAATAGTGGTTAAGAACCTGACCTCTGAGCCAAATTGTCTGAATATAAATACTGGTACCACCATTATTAACCGTGTAACTGAGACAAGTTATATAACCTCTATGGGCCACATTTCCTCATCTACAAAATGGGAACTATAAGAGTATCTACAGCAAACAGTTGTTGTGAAGATTAAACAAGTAACGTAAAACCTTTAAAATAGTGCCTGGCAAATAGCAATTTATATTTGAGCACTTATTATTATGAGTATTTGTCCCAAACTAATTGTCAGTACAACACATTCCATCTTCACTTGAGTGGACTTGGCATTTATGAACGTTTGAGTTTCAAATATCTAAAAGAACCCCCAAAACAGTCGTAATTTTTACAAAGCCTACTTTGTCTCATTATCTCTATTTAGAGCCAAATGCCCATCTGTGAATTAATACTAAAGACAGAGGATTCCAATGCACTAGACACTTGAGCATGGATCATGTGTTCCAATTCTGAATTTGGGGAAAAAATGTACCACCCCAAACCACACAGATTAGGAAAGAAGGATGGATTCCCAATGGTTACACCAGAAATACAATAAACAGAAATCAGATCACCTACTGCATTCTATGTTTCACTTTATATAGAAACAGAGGCAAAATCAGTTCATAAAACTTAATTGTGAAAAATGAAAGGACAACTAACATATTTTAAGTATAAAGAAAAACATGTTACTCTCAGTGAATATATTGTTTGAGAAAGTACCAACCTATCTGAATAGAACTTGGCTCATACACACATAAAGAAAGAGGACAAAGAACAAGTAAGGTGGAGGGCAAAGACAAGTCTGCACAAAAACCTGAATGCTTACAGAATTTTGTCCTACATACAACATCACATATAAAAACAGATCAAGAACTTTAAAAACAATTTAGCAGAGTTTCACTACATTGCCCAGGATGGACTCAAACTCCTGGAGCTGAGACTACAAGCATGCACCATCATGCCCAACTTAAAAAACATTTTATTTGGTATACAGGTTGAATATCCCTAATCTGAAAATCTGAAATCCAAAATCATGCAAAATCAAAAATTTTTTCAGTGCCAACATGACTATCAGAGGAAATGCTCACTGGAGCATTTTGGATTTCAGATTTTTCAGATTAAGGATACTAACCTGGTAAATATAATTTAAATATTCTAAAATTCGAAAACAAAAACCAAAAAAACCCCTAAAATCCAAAACACTTCTGGTCTCAAGCACTTCAGATAGAGGATACTCACCCTGTAATACAAATTTTAACAGGAAAAAGACGATGGGCTAATTCCACCGTCAAAAAAGCCTTTCCTCCCAAGCTGTGGAAGTTTTCTGAGGAAAAGGGTAGCAGGTTAAAATAATTATATAAAATATGAAAAAATCACCATTAAGAAAAAACATACACATACAAGAAGGAAAAGTAAGCAACAAGGTTTAAGGCTACAGTTACTTTAATCAGTAACAGTTCTTAGATGGAACATATCCACCTATGTAATGTTGGCTCATTATCAGAAAAGGTATAAAGATTTGTAAAAGGAAAAGATAACTGCTTATCAACACATTCTTTAGTAATGAACTACTATTGCACAAGTACCTTCTTCTCAATTTATAGACTACAATTCCAAGTTAATAGTCTTCCTATCCTGTTTCATGATCATCTATTTTCTCTACCATTTAATTCACCCATAGAAGTCTCCTGCTACCATTGATGCTGATGCCCCACCATCTGATAGTCCACAGGTCTGACAGTACCAATAGGTCTGATAAAATATGACATCATCTCCTGCAGAGTATGTTTCATCATTGACATCCAAATGGCACATGTATTATAAAGCAAAAGAAGCATCAAGTTTGACTTTTGCAGATTCAAATAAGTTCTTGACAGATATTACTATAATAATATAATAAATGCTGGTTTATTCCAGTAACTGAACATGCTTTTAACAGCTCTTTAAATTATATTTAGTCCTATATTTATAAGCTCACAATGGTCTAAAAAGAAAAGTCACTTAAACTTTCCACTTTCCTATCAGAGGAAATTCAGTCCTATAATTCAGTGACTTTAAAAAAAATTTTACCAGTGTACCCAGTGAGAAATACATTCCACATACATTGCTGCACAAACTGTTACTGTCTTTATTACGACAGATTCTATGATACGTTCTAGTTCACTTTTTTTTTTTTTTTTTTTTTGGAGACAGGGTCTCACTTTGTCGTCCAGGCTGGAGTGCAGTGGTGTGATCATAGCTCCCTGCAGCCTCGACCTCACAGGCTCAAGTGATCCTCCCATCTCAGCTTCTTGAGTAGCTGGGACTACAGGCACAAGCCACCACACAGGCTAATTTTTGTATTTTTTGTAGAGATGGGGTTTCGTCATGTTGCCCAGGATGGTCTCAAACTCCTGGGTTCAAGTAATCCTCCTGCCCTGGCCTACCAAAGGGCTGGGATTACAGGCGTGAACCAAGGTGCCCACCCTCACTTTTTAATAGTCTGAAAAACAGAGCCACGTGTTTTTCAGACTATTAAAAATATCCTGGGATTACAGGTGGTGGCACCCGTCTCTAATCCCCGCTGCTTGAGAGGCTAAGACATGAAGATTGCTTGAGCCCAGGAGTTTGAGACTAGCCTGGGCAACATAGGGAGAGCCCTGTCTCAAAAAAAGGAAAAAAAAAATTGGAAACCAGTTATATTAACAAGAATGGTCAACAGGCTTCATTTTTAGTGCTAAAATGTAATTAATAGGTAATGGCTATATATTGTACTATGCATAGTCCATTAGAGTATTTAACATCTGCCATGGCACTAAGAAAAAGGAATGGTACTAACATCTGTCATGACACTAAGAGAGGCAATGATACCAGGTTATGATATTATAATTACACAGTTAAAAGCCATTCTTCGAATTAAATCATGAGCTCCTTAAGAAGAGAGAATCTTAGTTTAACACAAAATAGGCAGTCACATATTTACTGAATGGTAGATCTATTTAATGTAGATCCTAACTATTTTCTATCAAGCAGATGATTAAAAGTCAACCTTCTCGGCCGGGCGCGGTGGCTCACGCCTGTAATCCCAGCACTTTGGGAGGCAGAGGCGGGCGGATCATGAGGTCAGGAGATCGAGACCATCCTGGCTAACACAGTGAAACCCCGCCTCTACTAAAAATACAAAAAATTAGCCGGGCGGGGTGGCCGGCGCCTGTAGTCCCAGCTACTCGGGAGGCTGAGGCAGGAGAATGGCGTGAACCCGGGAGGCGGAGCTTGCAGTGAGCCGAGATCGCACCACTGCACTCCAGCCTGGGCAGCAGAGCGAGACTCCGTCTCAAAAAAAAAGAAAAAAAGTCAACCTTCTCATAAAGAGCTTACTATCTACATGCAAACGTATACTTCTGCTGCAAGAATGGCTGGGACTTGCAGAGGTAGAAAACTTCATTTGAGATAGCTGGAAAAGCTAATACAAAGGCAGTAGTTATAGAATTGTTTAAAAAAGGAGTCCGTATAAAAAACAGAAGTCATCTTTCAAATACAGACCAGACTCACAGTCTAGTTAAATGAACCGTAAGAAAATTTTGCAAAAAACAAAATAACAAAGACTTCCTCTGAATGTTGAAAATGTATCCAATGTCAAGCTAAATACTACTGTCCTGTATTAGATTCTCCATCAATAAAACACTGTTAAAATTATTCAACTTGATAATACCTTCAATCTTTTGTGTAAAATAAAATATAAAAATGCAACCTAAACCCCTAAAATGTTTATGAATTCTTCAATTAAATATAAACTTACTTTCAAATATAAGTCAGGAGAGGCCAATGTTTATTACTGAAATTAGGTACGTGACTATTTAAATCAACAGTTCTCAAGGAGGGGAGAAGGACAGGTCCCTATCACCAGGGGAGCATATGCAAATTACACCACCCACCCCAGCCTCCAATTCAGGTACGTCTTCTTGGGATGTGGGCAGGTAAGAAAAGGGAGTGGTGAGGGATAAAACATTTATCTCATATGATTATGAAACAGCTGCTTCTCCTCCAATCTGTGCCGTTTAAGAACCACTGGGCTAAATACATGTACTCGAACTTACAGATCTGAAACTCTCTAATTGCACACAAAGAAAACACAAAGTTGAGAACTGGGAAATCTGAGTTCTCATTTTGTCCTTACCTGTCCAACGACAAACAAAATTACTTCTCTGTGCCTCAATGAGAAAATAATTAGTATTGTATTAAAAATAAGTTATATATAACATCACAGAATTGTTCTAAGGATAAAATAAAACGTGAAGCATAAGCATATCTTTAAAATGTCCCATAAATGAATAAGAAATTATCATTATTTGAACTTGGGCTTCGTTTAAATATAAAAGCATAGAATAATTTGAATTGGTTCACAGTTTGACCTTGGGGCATACAAGACAAGACCCACAGCCAAACGGGGGGAAAAAAAAAGAAAAAAAGGATTCCTTGGGCCTTGCCTAATCCATATCATCCTACCCCAAGAGTCTGGACAAAATCAAACCTGGCTTGAGTTTTAAATCAGATTCTCATTAATTAATTCTTCTGAATATTAAACCTCACCAGAAAAAGAAATAATTAACTAATGAGATTCTTAGAAAGTGAAATACTCAGGACCACGGTGGCTCACACCTGTAATCCCTCCCAGCACCTTGGGAGGCCGAGGCGAGCAGATCACCTGAGGTCAGGAGTTCAAGACCTGCCTGGCCAACATGGTGAAACCCCGTCTCCATTAAAAATACAAAAAATTAGGCAGGTGTGGTGGCAGGTGCCTGTAATCCCAGCTACTACTCGGGAGGCTGAGGCTGGAGAATTGCTTGAACCCGGGAGGCGGGGGTGGCAGTGAGCCAAGACGGTGCCACTGCACTCCAGCCTGAGTGACAGAGCAAGACTCCGTCTCAAATACAAATTTTTACTCTTTTAAAAAAAGAGTTCCCAATTCCCTATAGCATAGCCTGCAGTGCACTGAACTTCATATGGTGCCTGGCCGACAGTGAATGTCATACAAGTATCTCTTGAATGACAATGATCGATTCCTTATTCCTCACATCTTTTACTTTATTTTAGTGTACTTACACGGAGGCTAACATGTTTGTGTTCGTTAAGTATACTAAAAATTAAAATGCAAACAGTGGCTAAAAAGACAACTAAATTATGCACACCCCACTTTGTTTTATTAGCTTATTAGCTACTCGCACTATCGACTGTGTAGAAGTGCAAACACTTCTCAGCCCCAACCATAAACTGCTTATTTATAAATAACAATCATATTACAGCCCAAATGTTCAATGAAAAACAGATTAATTCTGATAAAGAATAACGTACAAAAAAGCAGAAAGGTGAATAAAGACATCATTTTTCTGCAGGAACTAGAAACCGTAAGTCTAATCAATAACTTTCCTAACAGTTCCAACTTCTAGCTCTATCTTATTTAATAACACCAACTCAGACCATCTTCAACCCTGATCTGAATCAACTTCCCTCATAATGACTGTGCAAGCAGCCAACTTCCTACATGCCTAATATTTGATCAACAATTTCCTCAAAAAGGAAAGTACGAAACACTACCACTTCTTAAGCAGCTAGCTAACAGCAATTACTTCTCATAATCCTACCAATATCTAAAATCCAATAAAAATTCCAAAACACTCTCAAGCAAGACAATCAACACCACCTTTCACTTCATATGACTAACCTCTCTATCCCAAATGTCATGACTAAATGTTACTCTGTATCATTCAAGATGCCAACTATGACGACAAAATGTCTATACCTAGCATTTCTCAAGTCAGAAGTTCCAGTATACTCTGTTATCCAGTATAGTACAGTTACATCTGACACAGGGATGTTATTTAACAAACGTGGTTCTCTCTTTTCAAGACACTTGGTGGAGAAGTGAAAAATCTGTTAACAGACTTTGACTACAGTCGTCTCAACAGCCGATTCCTAAGTGGCCCATCCTTTGAAATGGAAGAAGATATTTACACATACATACGATAGGTACTTACATTATTATAAAAAGCATGTCTTTATAAGACATCCATGCTTATGTTTACAGCATCATCTACCATACTTCAAATAAATTTTGACCAACTCCACCCCTCTGCATCCGAGGAAGCTTAGTCCTCTCCATTTGCAAATTTCATTCATCTCAACAAGGACTCCTGATTGACTGAGTGTTCAATTCATCAGAGAGGCAAAAATTTTAAGACTCAACCTCTCTGCCAACTTTGTTATCCAAAACCATTTATTTGACCTTCCACCTCTTCCCTCGTCATTCGTTAAACTCCCTTCACTTCCTCCTCAGCAACACTTACCTACCTCTTTATTATCCCCACCCTGCCTCGCTACTCCAACATTCCTTCACCCCACCAACCAGGAGCTCGAATGCCTGCAAACGCTCGATTCCCTCTGCAGACACCACCACAGCACCAGTATCCCAAGCTCTCCAACAAGCCACCCCCACACCAGACCCCCCGCCCCCAAGCCTAAGCGGCAGAAACTCATAATTTAGGGACAAGGAGGGAGTGCTCTTCAAACCCACCATACGAAGTCGTTGCTTTTGTCCTCGTAGGAGTTGATGAGCCCGTTGCAGAGGGGGGCGAGGAGAGGTCGCTTCCTGCTGCCGCTGCCTAGGCTGGAGCTGCTGCCTCCTACGCCGGCGCTGGGCCTGGCCGCGCAGCTGTGCCGGGACAGGCCCGTGGACACCGCCCCGCCGCCGCTACCCGATACGGCGGGCGCCACCAACACAGGCCGCACCGGGCCCCCGAGGCCGCCCGAGCCGGCGGCCTGGGCCACCCCGCCGGACACCAGCGCTGCCGCCGAAACCGCCACGGAAGGCGGCGACGGGGAAGAGGATAAAGACGAGGAGGCGGAAGTCACCGAGGAGGCCGCCGAGGACCCGGGGCTTGTCCCAGCGGAGCCCGACCCGGCCTGGCGGCTACCAGACATCGTGACTCCCTCCCCTCCAGCCGGGCGCTCGGAGGAGAGGGACCGCGACCTCGACCCTCCGCCGCCTCCCCTCCCCTCAGCCTCAGTGCATCCTGAGGACGCCCGCCGAGCCGGAGGTGGGGCTGAGGAACAATAAAGTTGCGTTTTTTTTTAAGGCAGCCACACAACAGCGTCCCACGGGAGGGGGCGGAGGAAACTAAAAAAGCGGAGTAGAAGGCACTACCGCTGTCGAGGCCGCCGCCGCCACCGCGGTCCCTGTAGCAGCCAACCCCGGCGCGCCGTGGCCGGCCGTGCGCGCGCGCGCGAGCGGCGGAAGAGGCGGGCGTGGCGGGGGATACAACTGGGGACGCAGCGGGGCTGCGCTCAGACGCTCAGGGCGCGCCCTCGGGGTCGGGGCTCCCTGGCGAAGGGAGTCTGTCTGTCCCAAGCCGCTTTCGTTCCAGAAAACGTGCCAGAGGGCAGGCCGTCTTAATACAGTGAAAGAATTGAGGAGACTGGAATGAATGGTATAGGTGGTGGGGTGGTTTGAAAGACGGGAACGTAGCGGGCGGAAACTCTCGAAAAGCGACTGCGCAGGCGCGCGCCGGGCGCGGACGCTCACGGGTCACCCAGGGTATCCGCCCCAAGCGGAGAATATCGGCGCAAGCGCGGAGTAGCCGTGTCACGCATGCGTGCGAACGCACCACATTCCGGAACGGGAAGAAGGAGCTGTCTCTCTCTTCTGAGGGGTAGGCAGGTGCTTCCGAATCGCGGAATGTAGGTGCTCATAAGCTGGAGACCCACGGAAAGAACCTAGAAGCTCCGAGCGGTTGCAGACAGCACTGCATTGAGCCAACGACTCCTGCTCTACTGATGGTGATTCCACAGCTTTGTGAGGAATAAGTTAAGATGAAGTCAGTGAAGTTTTCTGCGAATTGCAAACATTGTAGCAAGTGTTACCAATTTTATTAGTTCGACCACGACTTCACTCCTATATTTTGAAAAGCTGTTTGCCAAATTGAACATAACAATAATGGGAAAACAGATTTTGCTCAATCAGACCCAGCTCAGTCGGAACCTAGGTTTATTGTGGATCTGATATAATTCTAGCACAAAACAAGGAAACCTAGCATTTAATACCACCAGAAAATATACAATTTCTGGTAGGCTTTTTTAGAATATTGAAAATTGATTATAGGCGGGCGCGGTGGCTCATGCCTGTCATCGCAGCACCTTGGGAGGCCTAGGGGGTCGGATCACCTGAGCCTGGAGGTGAGGATCAGGCTGAACCTGAGGTTAGAGACCAGCCTGGGCAAGATAGCGAAACCCCGTCTCTACAAAAAGTACAAAAAATTAGCTGGGCATGGTGGCAGCAGGCCTGTAGTCCCAGCTACTCGGGAGGCTGACATGGGAGGATTGCTTGAGCTGGGGAGGTTGAGGCTGTAGGGAGCGGAGATCCCTACACTCCAGCCTGTGAGACAGAGACCCTGTCTCAAAAAAAAAAATTTTTTTCATTTGCCGCATTCTAAGGGGTGGGAGTTAGAAACAACTGTGTGATTTTATCCTTTTCAATTCTATCATTCTATGATTCTTATATATTTATTTGGGAATAAAGTGTGAAAATACTCATGACTTAGTAAACTACGTGCGTATTCAAGGAGGTAAAGGAAGGCAAAGGTTTTTAAAATTTAAAAAAAAATGAGAATTACATAATTGTTTTTAAACCGTTATCCTTGGCTACGAAGATCAATAACAAGGTGACACCAGTCGGAAACTGGACAGGAAGTTGCTGGGCAGATGTTTTTGCGGAAGTATTTTTTGTGTAAGATTGTGGCTTTTGGCCAGGTGCGGTGGCTGAGGCCCATAATTCCAACACTTTGGGAGGCCAAGGCGAGTGGATCACCTGAGGTCAGGAGTTCGAGACCAGCCTGGCCAACATGACGAAACCCTGTCCCTACTAAAAATACAAAAATTAACCGGGTGTGGTGGCATGCACCTGTAATCCCAACTACTCGAGAGTGTGAGGCAGGAGAATCGCTTGAACCCAGAAAGCGGAGGTTGGAGTGAGCCAAGGTCGTGCCACTGTGCTCCAGCCTGGGCAACAGAGCAAGACTCCATCTCAAAAAAAAAAAAAAGATTGTGGCTTTTGCAGGTTTTTGTGATAGTTTTTGTCATCAGGTGTGCAAGCATGAGACCCCTTCTCTTCATGACCTCTGAATCTATTTTTCAGTGTTTTAAAAAATATATTAGTGACTACCTCCCACCCCCTTTTGTTTAAGAGATGGGGCCCCCCACCCCCTTTTGTTTAAGAGATGGGGCCCCCCACCCCCTTTTGTTTAAGAGATGGGGCCCCCCCA
This sequence comes from Homo sapiens, assembly GCF_000001405.40. Lineage (NCBI taxonomy): Eukaryota > Metazoa > Chordata > Mammalia > Primates > Hominidae > Homo > Homo sapiens. The sequence goes on from NC_000001.11 coordinate 176,209,315, forward strand.
CCCCCTTTTGTTTAAGAGATGGGGCCCCCCACCCCCTTTTGTTTAAGAGATGGGGCCCCCCACCCCCTTTTGTTTAAGAGATGGGGCTGGGATGCAGTGACTGTTCACAGGCAAGTCTATAGCACAGTACAGCCCCCAAATTCCTGGGCTCAAGCAATCCTGCTGCCTCAGCCTCCCAAGTAGCTGGAACTGTAGGTGTGTACCACCGAGCCCATATAATTCCATTTTGATTACGACAGCTTTCACGGAAATTAGGCATTAAGTAGGGTAAAAACATTTATAATGTTTTAAAGATTAATTTTTTAGGAGATTAATCTTTCAGAAGAGGTGGGAAATTAGGAACAAAGACTAGGAAAAATTAAAGCAGTTCGAGCGTAAATGATAAGATTCTAGATTAGGATGGTGACAAAGAAAGGGAATATTCTGAGAAAAACACTAAGGAACTGATGGTATAAAGTTTAATTACTCTCTGTAAAACTGTCTTTACCATCCTTGAGAGTATGACCCATATCTGTCATATTCATCACTGTCTATATCAGTGCTTGACACAATGGTCAATATGTTGATTAAGTAAAAATGATGAAACACAAACAGAAATGACTCCAAACATGACTTCTGGGTAACAATAACGTAGTGACAAGATTGGAGGTGTCCAGTAGATGGTTTAGTTTTGAATGTTTTGAATGAGTGTGGGATGAAAAAAACTCAAAGAATAGGCAGTGGTCGAAAACACAGGGTTAAGGCACAGAAGAAAGTTCAGCACATGAGAGACATTTGGAAGTTACTAAGGGCATAGTATATCATCATCAAATAGTTATTATGGACCTATTATTTGCTAAACATATTGCTTCCCCCATGATTCTCAAACATCGGTGCCCAGAAGAATCACCTAGAGAGCTTGTTAAAAACCAGATTTCTGAGCTCCACCTTATGAATATGCATTTGTACCAGCACCCAGGTGAATCTGAGGCAAGTGACTAACACTTTGAAAACACTGTGATTGGCCGGGTGCGGTGGCTCATGCCTGTAATCCCAGTACTTTGAGAGGTTGAGGTAGGTGGGTCACTCGAGGTCAGGAGTTTGAGACCAGCCTGGCTGGCATGGTGAAACCCCGACTCTACTAAAAAAATACAAAAATTAGCTGGGAGTGGTGGCATGCTCCTGTAGTCCCAGCTACTTGGAAGGCTGAGGTAGGAGAATTGCTTGAACCCAAGAAACCCAGGAGGCAGAGGCTGCAGTGAGCTGAGATCGCACCTCTGCACTCCAGCCTGGGCAACAGAGTGAAACTCCGTCTCAAAAAAAAAAAAAAACAAAAAACACAACACTGTCCTGTGATTGATAATGTAGAGAATGTGAAAGAGTTTCCTTCCAGGCCAGGTGCAATGGCTCACGCCTGTAATCCCAGCCCTTTGGGAGGCTGAGGTGGGTGGATCACTCAAGGTCAGGAGTTTGAGAACAACCTGGCCAACATGGTAAAACCCCATCTCTACTAAAAATGTAAAAAATTAGCCAGGCATGGTGGCGCATGCCTGCAATCCCAGCTACTTGGGAGGCTGAGACAGGAGAATGGCTTGAACCCAGGAGGTGGAGGTTGCAGTGAGTCGAGATCGTGCCATTGCACTCCAGCCTGGGCGACAGAGTGAGAGTTTCCTTCCAAGTTGCTTATGCTGAGGACTGCTGTGATTTGAATGTACCCACCAAAACTCAGGTTGAAATGTAATTGCCATTGTAACAGTGTTGAGAGTTGAGACCTTCAAGAGGTCTCATGATTAGGTCATGAGGAGTACTGTTAGTTATTGCAGGAGTGGGTTCCTAATAACTGGATAAGTTTGGCTCCCATCTTGCCTCTCTGTCTCTCATGCTGTCTTGGGCCTTTCACCATGAGGTGACCCTCCCCATATGCAGGCACCGTGCTCTTGGACTTCCCAGGCTCCACAACTGTGAGAAATAAATTTATTTTCTTTATAAATTACCCAGTCTGTTGTATTCTGTTATAGCAGCAGAAAATGGGCTGAGACAGAAAGTAGTATGACCCCAACTGAGAAGTCTCCTAGGGGGAAAGAAAAAAAAATCATCAGTTCTTAGTATTACCTCTTTGGAATGTATTTTTTATAAAATCTAAATTCACAAAAAGAAGCTGAGAGTATGTGATGCAATAGAGCTTCATTTTTGTACCAGATAAATGTACTGGCTGAATACATAATTGTAATGACTGAAAGTACACAGTCCTTATTAATTTCTACTGGCAAGATCTTCTGGGAAAGCAGAAGAAAAAAAGAGGAAGCATGGTGAAACACACACAACACACAAGAAGGAAGACAACTTAGGAGAAGTAACAAATAGGAGAAGAAAACAAGAAAAAATGAAAATAATGTAAAATGAAAACAAAACCCACATAGTTAAAAGAATACCATCATGTTGTTAAATATAAACCACAAAAATTGACCAGAGAAAATCCAGTCTTCTAGCAAAAGCACTGATACTGTCTAATGGAGTTAAGATGGAATGGAATTACCAAGCGGATTGAACTTTCCAGGCATTATTTCTGAGGTGTCTTATCCAAATGTATTTTAGGAAGATAAGGCTGCTGGTTTCCATCTACAGCTAGCTCTGCCCTTTGTAACAGATTCCTGACTCACCTGCAGGGTTTACTACCTGCTTGCCCAGATTGCTGTCTAACCAAATATCTGAGTGAACAATAGTTTCCTGTTAAGTTTTGTTATTAAGTTAATGTGGTTGTCCTGGTAAATTAGTAATGTAAAATAAACTGAAGATGGTATTAAAAAGCTAAACTAGGCCTGGCACAGTGGCTCACACCTGTAATCCCTGCACTTTGGGAGGCTGAGGCAGGCAGATCACGAGGTCAGGAGTATGAGACCACCCTGACCAACATAGTGAAACCCTGTCTCTACTAAAAATACAAAAATCAGCCAGGCATGGTGGAGCGCACCTGTAATCCCAGCTACTCAGGAGGCTGAGGCAGGAGAATCCCTTGAACCCAGGAGGCAGAGGTTGTGGTGAGCTCAGATTGCACCACTGCACTCCAGCCTGGGCAACAGAGTGAGACTCTGTCTCAAAAAAAAAAAAAAAAAAAAAAAAAGGCTAAACAGAGGGCCAGGGCCAGCACAGTGGCTCATGTCTGTAATAATAGCACATTGGGTGGCTGAGGTGGGAGGATTGCTTGAGGCCAGGAGTTCAAGATCAGCCTGGGCAACATAGCAAGACCCCATCTCTATAAAAAAAACTTAAAAATTAGCTGAGTGTGGTGATGCATGACTTTAGTCCTGGCTTCTCAGGAGTTGAAAAGAGAGGATTACTTGAGCCCAGGAATTGAAGGCTATAGTGAGCTGTGATCACACCACTAAGGTGGGGCTGACAGAAAGCTAAAAAAAAAAAAAAAAAGCCTAAGATTAAGAAAACCAACATTGATTGGAAAAATATTTAATAGTTTTATATATGGTGAATGAATACATATTTTATGAAGGTATAGGAAGGTTTAGATCCACATAAAGATCATAAGCCAAAACAAAATTAGGTCTAATGAATTCTGTAAGAACACATCAATTGGTGTCATTATGAGGTGATATTAAAGGGCAGAAGGGGAAAAAAACTCACCTCACATTGAAACATAGCAGATAATGTTACAAGTCTTTTGCTCCATGGATTTGACCACCTGTGTCTGTAATGTAATATAAAGTGATCTGGAAAAGTGGATATAGTTGGAATCAAGAAATGTTTAAAACAGTACATTGTCCATTATAATTTGCATCAAGACTCCTTCCTAGATGGTGAGTGATACTTTTCTGCCTAATGCCTTGAGTAGTGTGTAAATAATAGCGCTTCTAATACTGACTCCTATCACTCCTGAAGTTATTTTTATACTATGTAATATGAACTTAATATAAGTTCATAGTCAAGACAGAACAAAATCATGAAATGATGAAATATAATATTAGTACTATGTGGAAAAGGAGGAAAGGGTCCAGTGTGTCTGAGGCCCAAAGAGGTTCTGAGCTAACTTGAGTTCACAGCATCAGTCCTATACTGCTACACATTGAGGATCTGTTATCTGAAATGCTTGGGACCAGAAATGTTTGAGATTTTTCTGGATTTTCGAAAATTTACATTACACATACCAGCTGAGCATCCCAAATCCAAAAATATGAAATCCAAAATGCTCCAATAAGCATTTCCTTTGGGTTTCATGTCAGTGCTCAAAAATGTTGGATGTTCTGATTTGTTATGCCCAACCTATAGTATTTTATGGGTGTGGTTATGTACAGTAATGCTAAACAGATTGAGTGTTCTTTACCTAAGCAACTTGGAAGTTTCATGATAAGAAATTCGACTGGTGGCAAAGAGAAATGATGTATACAAGTTTGGTTTAGGGATAAATCATGGTTATCAGAGAGAAGGAATGAGCTTGAATGTGATGAATAGTACTCAGATGGCCTTCCATACCAATCCCCCTGGACTCATGCCCAAGTTCTCAGGAGAGAAGCCTGCAACAAAAGAATTACACCACTGAATTATATAAGAAATAGAATGCTAAAGTGCCACTAAATTGTGAACTTGTCTAAAGAACCCTGAATGAAGAATGGATAGTATTTGGATACAATAATTTTGATTAGATGTATATAGCAACCTTGAAGAAAAGTTAGTTTTGGGGGCATATTTTTAACCTTTGAGGATGATCTGAAGTAAAGCAAGCTTTGCTCTGACAGTGATTCCTCTTATTCTCTGAATCAGTATGGTAATTCTTATTTTCGTAATTTGCTTTATTCAGGTACAGCAGGTATGTCTTTTATCACTGTAAGTCATCCCTCACACAGACGCCTGAGCATCTACCATTAAACCAGTTCATCAACTGCATTTGCATTTATCACTTTGTTGTGAGATAGTAGAAACTGGTATTTCGCCTTCAGTTTGGAAAAAATAGGTTAAAGCAATAAAGCTGATGGCCAAAATCTTGGCGCTCCACCCCCATATTTAACAACTGAGGGTTGCCTTGCCAAATCTGGGTCATCTCTGTTTGATGTTACTTTAGATGATTCAAGAGCACATCTTAGTCTTCAATCTGTTGAACGACTGTCACAAGTAAAAATCGATTCTCATGCACCATTCCTCATTCTTTCTTTGCTGGATACCACTCTCAAACACTTGGTTTGTACCAAGATGTAACTAGATCTTGATAATACCTCTGAAGAAATTATAAGCTGAATTTGGTATTGGCATCCTCTGCAGTGCCAGCCACAATGTATTACTTTTTATTGTTGCCATAACAAATTACTACACATTTAAGAGAAACCTCAAGAGTAACCAAATCTTCTGATAACTTGATCTTGGACTACTAGACTTGAGAACGTGGGAAAATAAATTTCTGGTGTTTAAACCACCTGGTGTGTGGTATGTTGTTATGGCAGCCTAGCAAATTAATACAGGTATCTAAGAGCCATTTTTAACAGTAGCTGTTAAAATTTGAGTAGAGATTTTATTCAACAAAACTGTAAAATTACATGTTCCATTTGTTTTACTAATGTAAAAGGTATCTTTCTCAGAAAGACACACACAGAACT